>NC_000003.12:162190422-162493452 GCF_000001405.40 Homo sapiens | reverse complement strand
AAAAAAGTCACAATATGATTCAACAATCTTAGAAAGGTGTTTGGGCCACAGTCACACCATTGGGTGGTCCACAATGACTGGTGTGGAATTAATAGCATAAATATCTATTGGCTAATTACACCAAACACTAGACAGGAATTTGCTCTTTTTTAAACAACTGCCTGCCTTAACAATAGTCCCTGATATGACCAAGAGAGTATTCTTGCCCCTCTATTTTGTCTCATGGAAAAAGTGGTTGTGAGAATAATGGAAGAAGAAAGTGAAATTTGAATATGAACTTAATTCAAGGGAGAATGTTGAATGTGATTATATTCTCAAGCACCTTCATTTCATAATTAAAAACAGCCTACAATATTGAGGAATATGCATGATGTGCTTCAGAGAATAGCAGGCAAACGACACACAAAGACTTACTCACTTGAGAGGGCCATGACATTGAATAAGTCATGGTTTCTGATAGAGCTGCTATGCAAATAATCCTGGTGTCTCAAGAGGTAACACATGTTTTCTTGTGGAAAATTTTTTTACTTACATCACTCAGACAACTCTGCAATCTTTAACATTTCTAAAATAGTGAAGAAACAAATCATAAAATCTTCAGCAAATACCCAAACATCAGATTTTTCAGACTATTTGGTATGAGATCTCTTCTCCTGGTTTAATATGTACATTCTTGGCTCATGATTCAGAAGTGAAGTATGTATTACTATCACTATCTTTCTCCTACTATTTATACATATTGCTCAAATATATGCCATCCCAAGCCTAAACTGCTGTTATTGTAGAGCCAATATCTTGTTAAATGAGCTATCAAATAGTCAATGAACAGAAAGTGCAATGCTTACAGAGCTAAGAATGACCCCCTGAAGCTTGTGAATTCGTCACACTCTTATGGGGTAATGATTTTGACTCTTTTTCAGGCTAAAACATGACCACGGGGGAGAACACCTCCAGCCATACACTGAAAACCAAGAGTGTCTTTGTTCACATGATAAGTCACCCACGTCTGTCCCAGGAAATTCCTACCCAGGAAGATAAGGCTACAAAGCAAGAAATAACTTTATTGCTTTCTGCAGAAATTTTGTACAAATTAATTTTATTAGATAAATTGCTCTTCTCTCAAAGCAATAGATTATTAACTGGGGCAAACAACTCACTTATCAATAAATTCATTTACTTATCCAGACCCATTTTCAGGTTCTCATTTGGCTATGTTCACCAGTTTGAAATATGATGCCAACAACTTTACCTAATCATAGTCAGATCCCCATCTTAAATAATGCATTATGTCACTTGAGCCACGATTGCAAAATCATATAAACTTTCTCCCTGCTCTCCCCTTCTGAGACTACACTTCTGTCAAGAGAGTGATCTTCCTTATTACCATAGATCTGATAAACTGAGTTTAACTTGATCAACAGATTAAGGATGAGCTTAACTTGATCAACCTCATATATATGGGAATTGCAAATTGTAATGAAATTAGGGTAGAAATCTGTTTTCTACCTGGACAATCAGAAGGTTAGATATGTCAAAATAGTAAATTATTATAAGCAAAAGTATTTTTAGTATGTTGTATTTTATGAAAGTTGAATTTCTATATATTATAATTTACCTGAATCCAGTAGTTATCTCTTGCAATAATGAACATTAAATTTACTTTTCAAGTCTTTTGTAATTAGTGTCATTGTTATGCCTGATAATTCTTGACCTATATTTTTTCATTTTCCTCTTTAAGGAAGTATTCAAATAAATCTAAAGAGTATAAAATTACCTGTACAAATTACTTATAAAATTGTTTTAAGAGTTACTATGTTTTAAAGGTATCGATTTTTACATTTTAAGGTAATTTATAATAGAATAACTAATGGATACGAAAATATACCAAAGGAGAGCAAATTGGTCACTTGGACATTTTGAAAGCATAAAACATAATTCAAAAATAAACAAATACCTTCTAGTTTCTAAAACCTTCATAATTGTGTTAGATATATTCATTGTCAGCATCCTAATAGCATTTCTACATTCAATATTTCTAGTGATCACACGTAAAAATTAAATAACTTCAAAAAATATTTTTCAATCATTATACATTTTAAAGCAATCTTGATTTTTAAAGAAGGCCAACTCACAAACATAAGTAAACATGTGAAAAACAAAACAAAACAAAAAACAAATAGCTTGATGCGGTGGCTCAGGCCTATAATCCCAGCACTTTGGGAGGGTGAGGTGGGAAGATAGCTTGACTCCAGGAGTTCAAGACCAGCCTGGGAAACACAGCAAGATCTTGCCTCTACAAAATACATAAAAATTAGGGTGGGATGGTGACCTATGCCTGTAGTCTCAGCTACTCAGCAAGCTGAGGTGGGAGGACGACTGGAGCCCAGGAGTTCGAGGGTACAGTGAGCCATTATTGTGCCACTGCACTCCAGCCTGAGCAACAGAGCAAGAACTCAAATAATGAAAAGAATAATAAGAAGCCCATGACAAAATAATTGAATATTTATTATTCTAAAACAATTTGGAAAGCATGATCCAGGATATGCATATTTTAACACTTCTCTTTTCAGAAGTGCCAATGGAGCTTTCAGATGTGTTCTAAAAGGAAATTTAGTGCCTCTCAATTTATCAAGGCAAAGTAATTAAATAATAATCTGTAACATCTAGTCCTTTAAGTGCAAATTATTGTCTCATAAAATAAACCATGAGATGCAAATTATAAAATAAAAAGTTGAGATTTCTTTTTCTACATGTGGAATTTTGCCTGATATGTATGCTTATATGTATGCTTATATAGGAATTCTATATCTAAACAACCTGAAATGCTTCTGCTGATCCTATACTTTGAAATTTTTTCAAATAATGTTTATTTTGTACAGCATATGGTTTATTGTATCTGTTAATTTCCTATTCTCTTCATAGAAAAAGATTTGCATTTATATGTGAAACATCAGTAATATTCCATTATAAATCAGAGGCCTATCTGAAAATGACTAGATATATTCTGACTTACACAGAAAATTCGAGCATTTAAATATGTTTATTAAATATAGTAAATAAATCAGTGTCCCCTAAATTTTCAACTCTGTTATAAATAGCAATAGGTACTTTTGTTAGTTATACTGTGCTCTCCCTATTCTTCAAGAAAAACAGTCTGCCCTCAAATCATCATTTTATTCGTAGTAACTATTAAATAGTTGAAGTAACATTTTTTGTTTCATCTTTAAGATTTTTTGATTATTTGATTTTTATATATATCCTATTAATGTGCATGCCAGCTCTTAGAGGATTCCTGAAAAATGATGGTTCATATCATGTCAGGGATAGTCCTTATGCAAACATAGCAATTAGAAACTGTTTGGTGGAGAAATCTATTAAGGATCCACTAGGTGGCTCAGGCTTATAATTCCAACTAATTGGGAGGGTGAGGTGGGAGGACTGCTTGAGCCTAGCAGTCTAAGACTGTAGTGCGTGCAAGGGATGATTACAGCACTGCACTCTAGCCTGGAGACAGAGTGATACCCGACTCTAAAAACAAAACAAAATAAAACAAAAAAGGAACAAATAAAGGTAAAAAAGAGAAAAAAATTATTAATTTAATTTGAAATTCTTCCCATAGAAAATGAAGAATTGAATATAGAGATCTGTCTTTTGCCTAGATTCCCTGGACCTCTAATATGTGTGACCATTTTTTTACTTGAAATTTGGTCCTTTGAGATAATAATTAAATTTGGATGCTACAGGTCTTACTACAAATCATTGTTAGAAAACTATGTGAGGTCAACCTTCAGTTAAAAGCATATGCAGAAATAAAAGGCCTCTGAGTGATATTATTGGCTGTTCACTCTTGGAAGTGCAAGACAGGCTTGTTTTCTCACCTATTTGAATCCAATAAAAGCTACTTAAATATGCTACTACCTCCCTTCTTATCATCTCATCACCAAAATAACCATGAGAGAGCATGTGGAAATGACTTTTTCTTTTTTTTTATTTTATTATTATTATACTTTAAGTTTTAGGGTACATGTGCACAACGTGCAGGTTTGTTACATATGTATACATGTGCCATGTTAGTGTGCTGCACCCATTAACTCATCATTTAGCATTAGGTGTGTCTCCTAATGCTATCCCTCCCCCCTCCCCCAACCCCACAACTGTCCTGGGTGTGTGATGTTCCCCTTCCTGTGTCCATGTGTTCTCATTGTTCAGTTCCCACCTATGAGTGAGAACATGCAGTGTTTGGTTTTTTGTCCTTGCGATAATTTGCTGAGAATGATGGTTTCCAGCTTCATCCATGTCCCTACAAAGGACATGAACTCATCATTTTTTATGGCTGCATAGTATTCCATGGTGTATATGTGCCACATTTTCTTAATCCAGTCTATCATTGTTGGACATTTGGGTTGGTTCCAAATCTTTGCTATTGTGAATGGTGCCACAATAAACATACATGTGCATGTGTCTTTATAGCAGCATGATTTATAATCCTTTGGGTATATACCCAGTAATGGGATGGCTGGGTCAAATGGTATTTCTAATTCCAGATCCCTAAGGAATCTCCACACTGACTTCCACAATGGTTGAACTAGTTTATAGTCCCACCAACAGTGCAAAAGTGTTCCTGTTTCTCCACATCCTCTCCAGCACCTGTTGTTTCCTGACTTTTAATGATCGCCATTCTAACTGGTGTGAGATGGTATCTCATTGTGGTTTTGATTTGCATTTATCTGATGGCCAGTGATGTCTGGAAGACCATTCCACCTCTAATTCTTAGCACTATTTTCCACAAGGTTAAATTCTGCTAATCTTTAAAAAAACATACCTTACTGAAGCCACTCCACTCCCCCAAGACAAAATTAGATCCCCTTGATAAGCACTTCACACTTTATAGTTATTTATATTTGATTGAGTACAGTTATAAACTGCAGAGAGAAATTTCAGTCAAGACAGACTGCATATACTACGTGGTCCCATAAGATTATAATGAAGCTGAAAAATTCCTGTTGCCTAGTAATGTCATAGTGGTTGCAAGGTCTTAGTGCCCCACATTATTCATTTGTCTGTGAATAAACAAATTGGTGTAAGCAAATCTGCTGCTCTGCCAGCAGTATAAAATTATAGCATATACAATTATATATAGTACATAGTAATTGATAAAAATAATAAATGACTATGTTACTGGCTTGTGTATTTACTATACTATACTTTCCTTGTTATTATAGAGTGTACTTCTAACTTTAAAAAGTTAAACGTAAATAGCCTCAGGCAGGTCTTTCAGGAGGTATTCAAGAAGATGATATTGTTATTCTAAGAGACTAGAGTGTTCCATGCATGTTATTGCCTCTGAAAACCTTCCAATAGGACAAAATGTGGAGATGGAAGACAGTGATATTGATGATTCTGACCCTGTGTAGACCTAGACTAACGTGTGTGTTTATGTTTTAGTTTTTAATAAAAAGTTAAAAAATAAATTTTAAATATTTAAGTAGATAAAAGTTTATAAAATAAGGATAAAATAATAAAATATTTTTGTGCAGTGTTTTTGTGTTTGAAACTCTTATTACAAGAGTCAAAAAGTTAAACAAATTTAAAAAATTATCAAACAGAAAAGTTGCAGTAAGCTAAGGTTAATTTATTATTGAATACAGAAAAAAAATATTTTTAAATTAGTATGGCCTAAGTGTACATTGTTTATAAAGTCTACAGTAATGTACAGTAATGCTCTAGGCTTTCACATTCACTCAACACTCACTGACTTACGTGGAGCAACTTACAGTACTTCAAGCTCCATTCATGGTAAGTGCCCTATATAGGTATACCATTTTTAATCTATTGTACAGTATTTTTACTGCACCTTTTGTGTGTTTTTATATGATCAGGTACACACATACTTACAATTGTCTTGCAATTGCCTACAGTATTCAGCACAGTAGTAGGCTATACAGGTTTGTAGCCTGTAAGCAATCGGTTATACCATGTAGCCTAGGTGTTAGTAGGCTATACCATCTAGGTTTGCATAAGTGCACTCTATGATTTTCCCATAGTGACAAAATAACCTACAGACTCATTTCTCAGAATGTTTTCCTGTTATTAAGCAATGCATGACAGTATTTCAATATGGTGTGTCTCTCTCCTGCAAGACTAAAATCCTGATGACTCATCATTTTTATCTTGTTACCTATTATATTACAAATTCTTAGCAAAGTAATGGTTTATAATCAATAAATATTATTTGAGGAAATACCAGTGTAACCTCAAGCAAGCTGAAATATGTTTTTATTTTTCTATGAATATGGCCTACCTGGAAAATTGATTATTGATTTATTAAATTAGCTTGGTAAATTTATCCCATAAATCATAGGAAATTCTGAGACTGATACTAACGATTACCTAAGTAGTCAGGCAGCCATGTGTGTCCAAAACACTAGAGAGGGGTCAGAGGAATATAAATGGACTTAGGTATATAAGGAAATTAGTGTCATAAAAAATATAATAGAGTAGCCATGGCTGCTGCTGTCACTGCTACTTTTGCTGTGGAACCCCTGTCCCCAAACTAATTGCTCCCGAAAAGCAATGTGCAGAAGACTAAGTAGGAGCTGGAAGAGAATGATGAGGAGAAGCTAGATGAAAGCATGCCGAAGAGACCATGGGGCCTAACCAAGATATTTGCATATAGGGTCCAGTCTGCAGCCACAGCCACTTTTGATATCTCCCTTCTTATGGCTCAAAACATGCACAGGTTTTCCAGGTCATCCTTGTGGACTGGGGTTACTTCCAATATAATCCTCGTTTTTCATGTTGTCTTTGAGGCTGAGAAGTTACAAATGGAGCAACAGCAGATACTTCTGGGGCTGACATGGGGCTGTCAGGAGGCATGCCAGGGTCTCTAGCTCCACTTCCTGGAAAGATCTCAATTTTTACTGCTGTTGTTTGAGCTGTCTTGGTAGCAGAAGTTTGAAATTAAATTGTTTGAAATGCTGACTTTTTTGATTTTTTTTTAACTTTTGCACATTGATCTACCTAAACCTGGTGGGGAGAATTCTCCCTAGATTGTCTCATGGAGAAACTTAACTTGCAACTGTGCCCTCCACACTATACCGACTTACTTCTTCTGTCTTCACTCTGATAACAGAATGCAGTCTTGCAGATGGTTATTCCACCTCTGGCCACCCCACTCCTTTTACTAAATAGCTCCTAAGTGGAAGATCGCACTTGTCCATTGTGGCGTAGGAACTTATGTCAGTGGGAGGCATGTGCCGCTGGCCACTACTGGCTGCTTTATCTATTTTTATTTTTTTAGAATGGAGCTGTTGGGAAGGGATATGCACACAATATGAAATAGACAAAATGCATTACAACTGTAGTGTAAAGTGGCAACCATGAATCTCCATGTATGTTGGAGAGGAGAGATGTTAACAACAGCTTCAGCCACAGGATGGGGACTGTGGAAGACAGAGCAGGAGCTCCTTTCCTGTGCACATTTTGTCTATTAGACTTGTGTGTGTGTGTGTGTGTGTGTGTGTGTGTGTAAAGAAAACCAGAAGCCGGCGTTCACTTTTTGTATTTAAATATTAAAAATAATTATAAATGAAAAAATATAGAATAATTACTTAAACTAGATTTTACTTCAGCAGATGGCAACTAAACATAAGAAAACTTCGCCTACTGATAGGGAATGCCACTGTGTTCTTACCTATAATTAATTCTCTGTGTAAAAGAAACACTCTTACTTGATTTTTGTTTTCCTATTGTGCCTATCAGCCAAGTTACTGTCATATTTTGGGTATTCAAAACAACCTGAAAACTTTACATGAATTAATATAAAAATAAGAGAAATACTAAATCCATCATCTTCTGTTTCTCTAAACAATTTCATAAATTAGTGATGATACATAACACTTGCACAAACACACCGAAAAATTTCAACAACTATATCCACGACATTTTTCTAAGCATTTGCTTCAGAAAACTGAGCACAAATAAAGGCAAATGTATCATACAGTGGAATAAAACTTGAATGGGAACTTCAGTCTCTTGTTCTGAGATTCCAATAAATCCTAACTTGTGACCTAACATAGAAAGAGTACAATCAGCCATGATAGAAATTAATTTTGTCTTTATCTATCTGAAATTATTCCTTGACAGATGTTATATCCAAAGACTATGCTACAAGTTTTATATTTTATGCTGCAGATATATAATATTTCTGATCCTCCATCATACTAACCGTATTTCAAGTGTTCTATGCACAGCTCTGTGGGATGTCCACTCCATACCTACATACTCAGTTACACACACAAACTCATTTAACTGATGAGAAAGGAGACTTCCCTCATGGACTTTGACCCAAGACATTAATATAGTTATTTGAAAAATGTAACAAGCATTATTACCTGCTGGAAATTACATATGTATATATATGGGAAAGATAGAGCATTATTTTGGTAGTTAAAAACGTAGACTACAAGTTTTCTAAAACCGAATCCAAAGAAAGAAAATACATTAAAGCATTTAACAGAGTACAAAAAATATTAATTTTCTACAAACAATATAATGACAATATCTTATATCCCACAAATATACCCTTATATACTCAATTTATTTTCACACTTTTATTTGGAAATATTTGAGACCTACAAAATAGAAAATGTATGGAGATAATTGAAAGTAAAAAAGCCAACATACCAAAGCATATGGGATGCAGCAAAAGCTAACTAAGAGACAAGTTTGTAGTGGTAAATGCCTTAGTTAACAAAGAAGAAAAGTCTCAAATCAAATATCTAACTTTACCCTCAAGAAACTAGGAAAAGAAGAACAATTAAAATCAAAATTTAATCAAAGGAAGAAAATAATAAATATCAGCACAGAAGTATACAAAATAGAGACTAGGATTAAATATTTTTTAAAATTAATGATATTGGGTTATTTTTTAAAATATTAACAAAAGTGGCAAAGTCTTAGACTAAACAAAACAAGACTTAAATCATAAATGAAGAATAAAACATTACAACTGATCACACAGAAATAAAATGGAATGTAAGAGACTACAATGAACAATTGTACACCAACAAATTAAATAACCTAGGCAAAATGAAGAAATTCCAATTTTAAGAAGGATTCATGAGGCCAGGTGTGTTGGCTTACGCTTGTAATCCCAGCATTTTGGGAGGCCAAGGTGGGCGGATCATTTGAGGTCAGGAGTTTGAGACCAGCCTGACCAACATGGTGAAACCCTGTCTCTACTAAAATACGAAAATTAGCCGGGCATGGTGGCGGGCACCTGTAATCTCAGCTACTCGGGAGGCCGAGGTAGGAGAATTGCTTTAACCCAGGAGGTGGAGGTTGAGGTGAGCTGAGATTGTGCCACTGCGCTCCAGCCTGGGTGACAGAGTGAGGCTTCCTCTCAAAATAAATAAACAAGTAAATTAAATAATAAAAAAGGATTCATGAAAAAATAGAGAATCTGAACAGACCTATAATTAGTTGAAATTAAATCAAAAATCAAATATTTCCCAAAATCGAAAATAACCACTGCAAGATAGCATCAATGGAGCATTCTACCAAGCATTCAAAGAATTAACATTGATTGTTCTTAAACTCTTCCAAATAATTAAAAAGAAAACAACACTTCCCAACTTATTTTATGAGGTCAGCATTATTCTGATACAAAAATCACATGAAGTCACTACAAAACAAATAAATAAACAAAAACACAGACCAATATCCATGATTAACATAGATAAAGAAAATCCTCATCAAAATACTAGTCAATCAAATTTGATATTCATTAAAAGGATCATGTACCATGTCTATGTGTGATTTATCCCTGGGATGCTATGATGTTTCAACATATAAAAATAAATCAGTGTGTATACTACACTTAACTGAACAAATGATAAAAATAACATGATTATAGCAATAAATGCAGAAAAAGCATTTAATAAAATTTAACACTTTTTCATGATAAAACAACCAACCACCTAAAAATAGAAAAAAAATACTTCAATCTAACAAAGGTCATATATGAAAAGACTATGGCAAACATCATACTCAACACGTGAAATAATAAAAGATATTCTTGTAAAATCAGGCTTAGTTCAGGAACCAAATAAGGTTGCCAACTCTCACCAATTCTATTCAGAATAATACTTAATGTCTTAGAGCAATTAGGCAAAAACGTAAAAAGAGACAAAAGGCATCTAAATCAGAACAGAAGAAGTAAAATCATCTTTGTGTGAAAATGTCATGATCTTATATGTAGAAAACCTTAAGGATTAGACAGAATTGTTAGAACTAATAATTGAATTCAGCAAGGTTACAAGATATAAAATCAAAATACAAAATCAGTTATTTTTCTGTACACTAGCGATAATCCAAAAATAAATTCAGAAAACGATTTCATTTAAAATAGCATCAGAGAGAACAAAATACCTAGGAATAAGCTAAATCTAGAAGGCAAAAGATTTGTATATTGAAAACTACAGGAGGGAGATTAAGCAAGATGGCTAAATCGAACCCTCTAGTGATCGTCCCCCCAACCCCCATCTTGCAGGAACACCAAATTGAATAACTATCCAAACAAGAAAGCACCTTCACAAGAACCAAAAGTCCGGTGAGTGATCACGGTACCTGCTTTTAACATCATGTCAAGTAATGAAGAGTTAAAGAGGGCAGGAAAGGCAGTCTTGAATTGCTGACCTCACCACTCTCCCATCTCCCTGCAGTCACTGCATGGTGCAGAGAGAGATTCTGTGCACCTGGCAGGCAGAGAGTCCAGAGAGTCCAATGCAGGACTTTGCATTGGAACTCAGTGTTTCCTGTCACAGCAGAAAGCAATACAGGGCAGAACTCAGACAGCATCCATGGAAGAAGCATTTAGACCTGCCCTAGCCAAAGGAGAATCATCCATCCCAGCAGTTGGAACCTGAGTTCTGGCTATGCCACAGTGGGCTAAAGTGATATGCGGGTCCTAAATAAACTTGAAAAGCAGGATATGCCACAAGGACTGCAATTCCTTGGCAAGTCCTAGTGCTGTGCTGTGCTCAATGCCTGTGGACTTGCGGCGCCCTCCTACAACCCCAGCAGTGCAGCTCCCAGCTCCAGGAGAGACTCCCTTCTACTCCTTGAGGAAAGAAGGGGGCTTTGTCTTGCAATTTGGATACCAGCACAGCCACAGTAGCGTAGGGCACAAAGCAGAGTCCTGAGGCTCTCACTCTAGGTCTTAGCTCTCAGATAACATTTCTAGACACAGCCTGGATCAGAAGGAAACCTGCTGACTTGAAGAAAAAGAGCCAGTTCTGGAAGAATCCATCACCTGCTGAATAAAAAGCCCTCAAGCCTCGAGTAATAAACAACATTAGCTAGGCAGTACTTTCTATGGGCTGGGGTAACATCCAGTTGTGTGCTGGCTTCAGGTGTGGGCTAGTACCTTCCCAGCTGTGGTGGCCACAGGGAGAGACTCTTTCTGCTTGAGAAAATAAAACAGAAGAGTAAAGGGGACTGTGCCATGCAGCATGGGAAACTGAATGGCCACAGTGGGGTAGAGCACAAAATGGGCTCCTGGTGTCCCAATTCCAAGCATCGGCTCCTGAATGCATTTATGGAAATGCCATGGGCAAGTGGGGATTCCACTAACCTGAAGGAAAAGGCACAGGGCTGGCAGCATTCACCCCAAGCTGACTTAAGAGCCTTTGGTCCTTGAATGAACATTGGCAGTAGCCAGAGAGTACTTGCTCACGGACCTGGGGCCATTAAGTGGCCATTAGAGAGACCTCCTCAGCTTTTGGAAACAGGAGGGAAGAGTGGGAACAACTTGGTCTTGCAGCTTGGGTGCCAGCTAAGCCACAGTAGAAAAGAGCACCAAGTAGATTACTAAGGTTCCTGACACCAGGCCCTGGCTCCTGGACATTTCTGGACAGGATCTGGGCCAGTTAGGAGCTTGCCACCCTTAAAAGAAAGAAACAAGCCTGGTTGGATTTGCCACTTGCTGACTGAAGGGCCCTTGGCTCTTGAGTGAACATGGGCAGTAGCCAGGCAGTGGTCATGCTGGCCTCAGAAGAGACCTAGTTCTCTACTGACTTTAGATTTGACTGAGTGCAGTCCCAGTGGTGGTGGCCATGGGGTTGATTATGGTAACCCTCCATCAACTCCAGGCAGTTCAGAATAGAGAGAGAGAGAGAGGCTTCATTTGTTTGGGGGTGTGGTAAGGGACAAGGTTGAGAGTCTCTGCCTGGTGATCCAGGAAATTCTCTCAGATCTTACTCAAGGTAAGCATAGCATTGCCTTTACAAGTCTCCAAATATTACACTATACTGGGCTTGGGTGCCCACAAATGCAGAAATGATAGCAGTAACCAAAGACTCAGATCACAACACCCAATTAATTTTGAATACTTGGAAAGCCTTCTCAAGAAAGACAGATACAAACAAGCCCAGACTGCAAAGACTACAATAAATACCTATCTCTTTAATGCCCAGATACCAATGGGCATCCACAAGCATTAAGACCATCCAGGAAAACATAACCTCACCAAACTAACTAAATGAGGCACTAGTGACCAATCCTGGAGAGCCAGAGATATGTGACTTTTTAGATAGAGAATTCTAAACAGCTGTTTTTAGGAAGTTCAATGAAATTCAAGATATCATAGATAAGGCATTCACAATCCTATCAGATAAATTTGACAAATAGTTTGAAATAATTAAAACAAATTAAACAGAAATTCAGGAGTTGAAAAATGCAATGGACATACTGAAAATTGTACCATAATGTCTTACTATAAGAGTTGATCAAGCAGAAGAAAGAATGAGTGAACTTGAAGACAAGCTATTTGAAAATACAGAGAAGATGAAAGAAAAAATATATACATAAAGGAAGCAGGCTTATGAAAACTAGAAAATAGCCTCAAAGAACAAATCTGAGATTTATTGACATTAAAGAGGGAGTAGAGAGAAAGATTGAGATAGAAGGTTTATTCAAAGAGATAGTAATGAGAACTTTTTAAATCTAGAGAAAGTTATCAATATTTAAGTACAAGATTACAGAACAAGATTACAGCAGATGTAACTGAAATTAGACAGCCTCAAGATATTTCATAATAAAACTCCCAAAGATGAATGATAAAGAAATAATCCTAAAAGCAGCAAGAGAAAAGAAACAAATAATATACAATGGAGCGCCAATATATCTGGCAGCAGAGTTTTCAGTGGAAACTTTTCAGGTCAAGGGAGAGTAGCGTGACATACTTAAAAAGATAAAGAGAAAAGAAAACTTTTTTTCTAGGATAGTATATCTGACAAAAATATCCTTCAAATATGAAGGAGAAGTAAAAACTTTCCCAGACAAACAAAAGCTGAGAGATTTCATCAACACTGTACCTGTCCTACAAGAAAAACTAAAGGGAGGAAATTAGTCATAAAGAAAAGGATGTTAATGAGCAATAAAAATCATCTGAAGGTATAAAACTCATTGGTAATAATAAGGACAAGAGAAACACAGCATATTATAACACTATAACTGTGGTATGTAAACTACTCTTAAGTTATGTAGAAAGGCTAAAAGATGAATCAACAAAAAATAATAACTATGACAACTTTTCAAGGATAGACAGTACAATAAGATATAAATAGGAGCAACAAAAAGTTAAAAAGTGGGAAGACGAAGTTGAAGCATAGAAATTTTGTTAATTTTCTCTTTTCTCGTATATTTGTTTGTTCCTTCATACCAATTTTAAGTTATTATCAGCTTAAAATAATGGGTTATAAGATAGTATTTGCAAGCCTCATGGAAACTTAAAACCAAGAAACATACCATGGATACACAAAAAATAAAAAGTAAGAAAGTAAATTATATTACCAGAGAAAATCATGTTCACTAAAGGAAGACAGGAAGGAAAGAAAGAAGAGAAAACCACAAAACAACCAGAAAACAAATAACAAAATGGCAGGACTAAGTCCTTACTTATCAATAATGACATTGAATATAAATAGACTAAACTCTCCAATCAAAAGACATAGAGTGGCTGAAAGGATTAAAAAAAAAAAGACCCAATAATCTGTTGCCTGCAAGAAACAAACTTCACCTATAAAGACACACATAGACTCAAAATAAAGGGATGGAAAAAGATATTCCATGCCAATGGAAACCATAGAAGACCAAGAGCAGCTATATTTACATCAGACATAGATTTCAAGGCAAAACTACGAAAAGAAATAAAGAAAGTCATTATATAATGACAAATGGGTTAATTCAACATGATGATATAACAACTATAAATATATACGCACCTAACACTAGAGCACCTAGATAGATTTTAAAATATTATTAAAGCTCAAGAGAGAAATAGATGCGAATATTATAATAGCTAGATACTTTTTTTAAATTTTACTTTAAGTTCTGGGATACATGTGCAGAATGTGCAGGTTACATAGGTATCTGTGTGCCATGGTGGTTTGCTGCACCTATTGACGCATCTTTTAAGTTGCCTTCCCTCAACCCCCACACCCCAACAGGCCCAGGTGTGTGCTGTTCCCCTCCGTGTGTCCATGTGTCCTCATCATTCAACTCCCACTTATGAGTGTGAACATGGGGTGTTGGGTTCTCTGTTCCTGTGTTAGTTTGCTGAGAATGATGGCTTTCACCTTCATCCATGTCCCTGCAAAGGACATGATCTCATTCCTTTTTATGGCTGCATAGTGTTCCATGGTATATGTGGCATATTTTCTTTTATCCAGTCTATAATTCATAGGCATTTTGGTTGGTTCCATGACTTGCTATTGTAAATAGTGCTTCAATAACATATGTGTGCATGTGTCTTTGTAGTACAATGATTTATATTCTTTTGAGTATGTATCCAGTAATGCGATTGCTGGGTCAAATGGCATTTCTGGTTCTAGATCCTTAAGGAATTGCCATACTGTCTTCAACAATGGTTGAGCTAATTTACATTCACACCAACAGTGTCAATGCCTTTCTATTTCTCCACAGCCTTGCCAGGATCTATTGTTTCTGGACTTTTTAATAATTGCCATTCTGACTGGCATAAGATTGTATCTCACTGTGGTTTTGATTTGCATTTCTCTAATGATCAGTGATGTTGAGGTTTTTTTCATATGTTTGTTGGTCATATAAATGTCTTCTTTTGAGAAGTGTTTCTTCATATCCTTTGCTCACTTTGTGATGGGTTTTTTTTTTTTCTTGTAAATTTGTTTAAGTTTCTTTTAAGTAAATTCTGGGTATTAGACCTTAGTCAGATGGGTAGATTGTAAAAAATTTCTCTTATTCTATAGATTGCCTGCTCACTCTGATGATAGTTTCTTTTGCTATGCAGAAGCTCTTTAGTTTAGTTAGATCCCAATTGTCAGTTTTGGCTTTTGTTTCAATTGCTTTTGTCATAAAATCTTTGCCCATGCTTATGTCATAAATGGTACTGCCTAGGTTTTCTTCTAGGGTTCTTATGGTTTGGAGTTTTACATTTAAGTCTTTAATCCATCTTGAGCTAACTTTTGTATAAGGTGTAACAAAGAGGTCCAGTTTCAGTTTTCTGAATATGGCTAGCCAGTTTTCCCAGCACCATTTATTGAATAGATTATTTCCCAATTGCTTGTTTTTGTCAAGTTCGTTGAAGATCAGATGGTTGTAGATGTGTAGTGTTATTTCTGAGGTCTCTGTTCTGTTCCATTGGCCTATATGTCTGTTTTGGTACCAGTATCATGCTGTTTTGGTACCAGTGTCATGCTGTTTTGGTTACTGTAGCCTTGTATTATAGTTTGAAGTTGAGTAGTGTGATGCCTTCCACTTTGTTCTTTTTGCTTAGGATTGTCTTGGCTATATGGTGTCTTCTTTCATTCCATATGAAATTTAATGTGGTTTCTTCTAATTTTGTGAAATACGTCAATGGTAGTTTTATGGAAATAGCACTGAATCTGTTAATTGCTTTGGGCAGTATGGCCATTTTCACGATATTGATTCTTCCTACACATGAGGATGGAATGTTTTTCCATTTGTTTGTGTCCTCTCTTATTTCCTTTAGTAGTGGTTTGTAGTACTTCTTGAAGAGGTCCTTCACATCCCTTGTAAGCTGTATTCCTAGGTATTTCATTATCTTTGTGGCAATTTTGACTAGGAGTTCATTAATGATTTGGCTCTCAGCTTATCTATTGTTGGTGTAAAGGAATGCTTGTGATTTTTGCACATGAATGTTGTATCCTGAGACTTTGCTGAAGTTGCTTATCAGCTTAAGGAGTTTTTGGCTGAGATGATGGGGATTTCTAGTTATAAAATCATGTTGTCTGCAAACAGAGACAATTTGACTCCCTCTCTTCCTATTTGAATACCCTTTATTTCTTTCTCTTGACTGATTGCCCTGGCCAGAACTTCAAATACTGTGTTGAATAGAAGTGGTCAAAGACGGTATCCTGGTTTTCAAAAGGAATTCATCTAGCTTGTGCCCATTCAATATGATATTGGCTGTGGGTTTGTCATAAATAGCTCTTATTATTTTGAGATATGTTCCATCAATATTTAGTTTATTGAGAGTTTTTAACATGAAAGGATGTAGAATTTTATCAGATCCCTTTTCTGCATCTATTAAGATAATCATGCAATTTTTGTCATTGGTTCATTTTATGTGATGAATTATGTTTACTGATTTGTGTATGTTGAACCAGCCTTGCATCCCATGGATGAAGCCAACTTGACCATGGAGGATAAATTTTTTGATGTGCTGCTGGATTCAGTTTACCAGTATTTTATTGAGGATTTTTGCATTGAAGCTCATCAGGGATATTGGCCTGAAGTTTTCTATTTTGTTGTGTCTCTGCCAGGCTTTAGTATCAGGATGATGCTGGATTCATTACATGAGTTAGGGAGGACTCCCTATTTTTCAAATGTTTGCAGTAGTTTCAGAAGAAATGGTCCTAGCTCCTCTTTATACCTCTGGTAGAATTCGGCTGTGAGTATGTCTGGTCCTGGGCTTTTTTAGATGGTAGGCTATTGATGACTGCTTCAATTTCAGAACTTATTATTGGTCTATTCAGGGATTCAACTTCTTGCTATAGTCTTGGGAGTGTGTATGTGTCCAGGAATTTATCCACTCATTCTAGATTTTCTAATTTATTTACACAGAGGTGTTTAGATAAAGAGTAAAGACACATTAGCGTGCTGTATTCAGGAGACCCATGTCATGTTCAAAGCACACATAGGCTCAAAATAAAAAGATGAAGAAAAATTTACCAAGCAAACAGAAAGCAAGAGAAAGCATGGGTTGCAATCCCAGTCTCTGATAAAACAGACTTTAAACCAACAAAGATCAAAAAATACAAAGAAGGACCTTACATAATGGTAAAGAGATCAATTAAACAAGAAGAGCTAACTGCCCTAAATATATATGCACCCAATACAGGAGCATCCAGATTCATAAAACAAGTTCATAGAGACCTACAAAGAGACTTAGACTCCCACACAATAATAGTGGGAGAATTTAATGCCCCACTGTCAATATTAGATGGGTCAATGAGACCGAAAATCAACAAGGATATTCACCACTTGAACTCAGCTCTGGATCAAGTGGAGCTGAAAAACATCTACAGAACTCTCCACTCCAAATCAAGAGAATATACATTCTTCTGGATATCCATATGTAGAAGAATGAAACTAGAGTCCTATCTCTTGCCATAAACAGAAATCAAATAAAAATGGATTAACGACTTAAATCTAAGATTTTGAACTATGAAACCACTAAAAAAAAAAAAAAAAAACTATAGTGAAACACTTCAGGACATTAGTCTGAGCAAAGATTTTATGAGTACTACCTTAAATTCATAGGCAACCAAAGCAAAAATGGACATCATGGATCACAACAAGTTAAAAAACTTTCTGCAAAAGAATGAAAACCAACAACAAAGTGAAAAATTGGAGAAAATATTTGCAAACTACCAATTTAACAGAGGATTGATCACCAGACTCTATAAGAAGTTCAAACAGCCGGGCATGGTGGCTCATGCCTGTAATCTCAGCACTTTGAGAAGCCGAGGCAGGCAGATCACCTGAGGTCAGGAGTTCAAGACCAGCCTGGCCAACATGGTGAAACCCTGTCTCTACTAAAAATACAAAAGTTAGCCGGGCATGGTGGCACACACCTGTAATCCAAGCTACTCGGGAGGCTGAAGCAGGAGAATCACTTGAACCTAAGAGGCAGAGGTTGCAGTAAGCAAAGATCATGCCACTGCACTCCAGTCTGGGGGACAGAGCAAGACTCCATCTAAAAAAAAAAAAAAATCCAAACAACTATATAGACAAAAATCTAATAATCTTTATTTAAAAAACTGGCAACATATCTGAATAGACCTTTCTAAAAATAAGACATACGAATGGCAAACAAATATATGAAAATGTGCTCATTATCACTGATTATTAGAAAAAAACAAATCAAAACCACAATGAGATATCAAATCACTCCAGTTAAAATGGCTTTATCCAAAACACAGGCAATAATGAATGCCGATGAGGATGTGGAGAAAAGGGAACCCTTCTACACTGTTAGTGGGAATGTTAAGTACAACTACTATGGTAAACAATATGGATGTTCCTTAAAAAAACTGAAAATTTAACTACTATAGTATCCAGCAGTTCTACTATTAAGTATATATCCAAAAGAAAACTAGTCAGTAAATCAAAGAGATATCTGCACCCCCATGTTTATTGAACACTATTCATGATAGCTGAGTTTTGGGAGCCACTTAAGTGTCCATCAATAGACAAATGGATAAATAAAATATGGTACCTATAAACAATGGAATACTATTCAGCCACGAAAAAGAATGAGATTCTGTTATTTGCAAAAAATATGGATATAACTATAGAACTTTATGTTAAGGGAAATAAGCCAGACACAGAAAGTAAAGTTTTAAAGGGGTTTTTAACTCATTTGTCATAGCAAAAAATAAATAGAATTGAACTCACGGAGATAGGGAGCAGAAGAATGGTTACCAGAGGCTGAGAATAGTAGCATGGAGGGTAGTGTGGTGTGTGGAATTGGGATAGTTAAGGTTAATGGGCACAAAAATATGGTTCGATAGAATAAACGTGATCTAGTAATTGCTAACATAACAAGGTGGTTACAGTCAACAAAAATTTAATTGTATATTTTTAAATAACTAAGAGTATAATTGGAATGTTTATAACTCAAAGAAATATAAATGCTTGAGGAGATGTATATCCACTTACCCTGATGTGATTATTATGCATTATATGCTTATATCAAAATATCTCATGTACCCCATAAATATATACACCTAACATGTATGCATAGAAACTTTTAAAAGTTAAAAAAATAAGTTTGAAAGAAGAAATGACAAAATATTGTTGAATAAAATTATAGAAGACACAAATTAATGGAAAGACATTCCATGTTTATGGATTTGAAGTGCAGTATTGCTATAATGCTCATACTATTCGGAGGACTACTGTTTCAATGCAATTTTCTTTTAAATTCCAATAGCATTTTTTGAAGAAATTGAAAAACAATCCTAAAATGTATATGACCTATAAAGGACTTTGAATTACCAAACAATCTTGAGAAAGAACAACAAAGCTGGAGGCCTCAGATTTCCTGACATCAAAAAATAGTATATATAGCTACAGTAAACAAAACAGTATAATATTGGCATAAACACAGACACATAAACAAATGAAACAGAATAAAGAGCCCAGAAATAAATTAATGATTATAAAATCAAATGATCTTTGACAAGAGTGATAAGACTATATGCAGAGGAAAGACTGTCTCTTTAACAAATCATTGGGAATATTGGTTTCCATATGCAAAACTAATGAATTTGAATCCTTACCTTACACCATACACAAAAATTAATTCAAAATGGGTTACCAACTTAAATGTAAGACCTTAAGCTATAAAAATATTAGTAAAAAAATAAGGGAAAATCATAATATTGGTCATGGCAATGATTACTGTATATGATGTCAAATGCACAGGAAAAAAGCAAAAATATATTCAGACTACATCAAACTAAAAAGCTACAAGGAAGGAAAGGAGAAAAGAAAAAAAATGACAAGGGAATCTATGAAATCAGGAAAAAATGTGTAAATCATACATCTGAGAGGGGTTAATATGCAAATATATAAGGTACTCCTGCAACTTAATAACAAAAAAAAGCAGAAACATATAACCCAGTTAAAATGGATGAGGGTTTTAAATAGATATTTTGCTAAAGAACACATACAAATGACCAACAGGCATATGAAAAGATGATTGACATCACTAATTATCAGGGAAATGCAAATCAAACCATAACTCGATATAACCTCACACATGTTAGCATAACCATTATAAAACAAAACAAACAGAAAACAAGGAATACTATTATAGAAGAGATGGAAAAATTAAAACCCTTGTCTACTGTTTGTGAGAATGTAAAAAGGTGCTACTGCTTTAGAAAATAGTATGGAAATTCCTCAAAAAATTAAAAATAGATTTACCATATCATTCAGCAATTTCACTTCTTCATATATTTCCAAAAGCACTAAAAACACAACCTTGAAAAGATTATTGCAAACTCATGTTCACTGGGGGATTATTAGCCAAGACATGATAGCAACCTAAATGCCCACCAGTAGAGGAATGAGTAAAGAAAACGTGAACTATGCAATGGGATATTATTGAGCCTTAAATAAGAAGGAAATCATGTTATAAACTACAACATGGGTGAAAATTGAAAACGTTATGCTAAGTGAATAAAGAAAATCACAGAAAGACAAATACTGGCTAATTCAATTTATGTGAGGTATCTAAAGTAGTCAAACTAATAGAAGCAAAAAATAGAATAATGGTTTCCATGAGCTAAGAAGAGGGAGAAATGGAGAGCTGTTTTTTAATGAATATTAAGTTTAGTTATGCAATCCAAAAAAATTCGAGAGACCTTATTGATTACATTGTACATATAGTTACCAATACTGCAGTGCATACACGAAACTGTGTCAAAAGGGTAGATTTTATGAGTTTTTTTAACCACACAAACAAGTGAGTGTCACTAACAATAGTCCTAACTCGTTCTTTGAAACTTCTGCAGTACAGTTTATGCTATAAAAATTCATAAGCACTGCTATGATTTGAATGCTTGTCCCCTCTAAAACTCATGTTGAAATTGAATGGTCGTTTTAACAATAGTAAGATGTGGGACCTTGGAGAGGTAATTAGGTCAGGAGGGTTCTATTTTCCCACAGTCATGGGTGGGGTTACAGCCTTAGTAAAAGTGCTTTTGGAAGTAGGCTCTGTTTTTTGCCCTTCCACCTTCCACCATGTGATGACACAGCAAGAAGGCCTTGACAGATATTGGTACCTTGATCTTGAGCTTCCCAGCCTCCAAAACTGTAAGAAAATAAATAAATATCTTTCCAGCCTCCAGAACTTTTAACAAGCAAATAATAGTATAAATTACCTATATGTGGTATTAGGTGATAGTAGCACAAAATGAATGAAGACAAGTAAGTACCATGAATCCCTTTCACAGGTGATACAGCTGTGAGCCAAGTATACACAATTCCCTGTCTGCATGGAGCTTATATTCTACAGACAATATTTTAATAAACATCCCTAGGTATGCCTTCTTGGGTGTGTGTGAGAGTGTTTCTCTAAGTAGGATATCAAGAAGATGAGTTGCTGGCTTTTATATACAGGAGGCAGGATGTGGAGGCTTCAGGATCAATATATCTTCTCAAGCAGTGGCACCTATTATATTTTTAAAAATATACAGTTTCTTTCTGTTGTGTACATACATTATTTTGCCATTAAAATTATGTTGATATAATTATTTTAATAATACTTATAGAAAATAATTATTTTTAGATAACTTTACACTCCTCTTAGAGAGTGACTGATAAAGGGTACAATTTTACTAAGGTTTTTAACATTTATTTCTAAACCACTTTTAAGAATGATCATCTGAAACTATGGGAAGATGCCTTCCTTTCTTCACCCTTCAGTAGTTTTCTTTTGCTTTCTCCCAAAATATGAATGAGTAAAAACAAAATTCCAGAAGGTTTTATGTAACTGAGCTCTTTGAAGAAGAAATAAATATAGATTTGTATGTAATATAAAAGGAGATTTGTTTGAAAAATATTTATATAGAAATATAATTGTTCATGATTCTAATTATTGTAGTTCTATATTGGTCTTAGCTCCCATAAATGACACATAGCAGGTGTTTTGAAAGACAAATGGGAAAATTGACAGTGATAACATTTTAGTTTGGTAAAGATTTTTAGCTATAAATTGCTCTTCTACATGGTTTTATGAATCTTAATTATTTATTGGGGTTCTTGCAAGGATCCCCTGACAGATTGGTATATATTTCAATAAATAAATAAAACAAGCAATAATGTACAGTAATGCAAACGAAATCAAAGCATTATCGAGAATCATTATTCATCTTTAGAAACTAATGTCACCTGTCTCAGTGTATAACTTTCCTCTAAGTTTGTTGAGGAAAAAAAAAACTGATATTAGCAATTAAATTTTGTTTTAAATATGCATCCAAAAGTAGATGCAATTTTTTTTCTAACATAGAGGAAATGGCTAAGTTTTTATGTTTTAGTGGCCGATCTTGATGTTAAAGGTCATTAGAAAAATGACCCAACCCATGAATCACTTGAGGTGAGGAGTTCGAGACCAGCCTGGCCAACAGGTTGAAACCAAGTCTCTACCAAACACACAAAAATTAGCCAGGCATGGTAGCACATGCCTGTAATCCTAGCTACTGGGGAGGCTGAAGCAGGAGAATCGCTTGAACCTGGGAGGCGGACGTTGCAGTGAGCTGAGATCGTGCCATTGCACTCCAGCCTGGGTGAAGAAGCCAGACTGTCTCAAAAAAAAAAAAAAAAAAAAAAAGTAAGAAAAATTACCCAACCCGACAAAATAAGCATACCATTTATCCCAAAGAGAATATTAGCAATGAATTCTAAATACTTAATATTTTACCTTAGTATTGTTGACTAAAAACTATAAAACTTTTCACTATTAGAAAATTATGAATGTCTTGAATAAAAGGTTATGCTAGTATAAAATTTCACAATTATGCTTATTGTTTTACATTGTTTTTTCAGTGTTTAATTTTGAAAAATAGGCACTCTGCTGTTTCCTCCATGCATATTAAAGTTATATGTGATATTCTATTGAAATTAACTGAACATAGGCAATTCCTATATAATCATTAAAGCTCCTTTTATTTTTATTAGTACTTTAATAAGCTGCCATACCCAATTTTGAATTTAAACGGAAATTGAGCCATATAAAATGATGTTAGATACCTTTAAATAGATGAAACTGATCTTGAAACATGAACACCATAAGTGATAAAGATTTAACAGAAAACATTAAAAACATGATTTGAAAATCAAATAGAAATAAATCTGATACAACTATTGACTGTCAAATATAAATGTCACTGTTGTGAGACATTTTTTATATTTAAGTAATACTACTTCATGAATTTTGCAAATGTGCTCTTTAAGTTTATTAAGACGTTCCTATCCTCTTGGCGTTATAAAATAATTTCAAGACTACCATAAAACTAAAAAATGAGAAATAAATAAACATATGGTTAGAATTTAAGTAAAACCATTCTTAATGAATACTTAAGGTTTAGAGCACAAAATATGGCTGAAGTCTCTCACCTTGCTCTTTTACATTGCATATTTTCCTTAGGCCTTGCCCACTTTGCTTCATGTGTGCCACTGGCATGCTCACTCTCAAATATTGGCTACTTCTCTTAAAATTTTCAACTTTTAACTGGACATAAGTTCTTTGTTACCTGTGAAAGACTATTCAATTCATTCAAAAGGCCATTTCATTTTTCTTCTGTACATAGTAGACAACATTAACCTTGCATCTACGTAGAAGAGGAGGAATAGAAAATAGGAGGAATATAACAAACAATGATGCATGAATTTTCCACATCTGACACATTAAGGGAAAAAAAGATCTCCCCAGCATAATCTTCTTTACTCTTCCCCTTCCTCAGTGACCCTGAAAGTCACATATTTAGGGGCATTATCCTCAAATGGAAGGATTTTAGATTGATAGGTCAACACATGGACTCTTTTCCAAAAATATCTGCTTTGGAATTCGCATAAATGAGAAAAATATTTTTCTGTGTTAATTCACTGGATTTAGGAGTTGCTGTAGCAGGTAGTTTCAGTTACCCTAAGATATTTCACTTATGAAGCTAAACTGGCTTAAATATTAAAAAAAAAAAAAACACAGAGGAAATACTAAATCCAAAGGATTGTTAACCGGTTAGGGTGAATATGAAGCATAATACCTGTCCTGTTTGAAACATTGTACTGTTCCTTGACCTTATACATACTGTTCTATTCAGCGAGTAACCTGAGAATTCTTCATTATTGTCACAATAAGGCTGGAACATTTTCACATGCAAATACCTTAGTCCTTTGTTCCTAATAAAAGGACTCTTTTTATAGCTATGGATCAACTTCTACCTTCTACCAGCTACTCAAAGCTTTCCTCTATATACACTGATTCTATCTAGGTAGAGAAAAATAGTCTTATATTGCTCATCAGGTGGGTTTCCACTTCTCCATTTCAGAAAACTTCCCAGACTGGCAAAACCACACTTACTTCACCCTGTACATGGGGTATTGATTTTATTTTTATTCATGTTCAGTAGAATGATACTATATGGCTATTATTCTAAGGGTTGTAGATATGCTAAAATGAGTCATTTAATCACAGATTATCTTACAAAGTAACTCTAAGTCTCATAAACATATAGCAAATAACAATTATCTTATGAGTAGTAAGCAAGAGTCAAGTAATTTGGTTGTTTGTGTATATTAACAAATATGCCATTGTTTTGTGGAAATTCCAAGACTATACAATATAAAATCTCAAAAGGGATAATTAAAAACAGTAAAATGCACTATTGAATATGTAAAATATTTACATACATACTCAGCTTATGTAGAGCACAGCTTCAAAAACAAGAAAGACATTTTATTATGTTTCAATCACAGTGTCAATCAAAAGTTAAATGGAATGTCATTAATGGTTACTTCTTTCAATATGAAGTAACAAGAGCAATTTACAACTAATTTGTATATTTAAATCTCAAATATTAGAAAATATTACTTTAACTAAAATAATAGTTTAGATTCTTGTAATATTGCTATATGTATATGGTCTCAATAAAGTGGTTATTTTTGCTGCCTGAGTATACAAAGGAACTAGAAACTGCTTAACAATAAAACATCAATGTAATTTGCATAGAGATAGTTCAGACATCATTTCTATGTAAGTACAGTGTAATTTTCTTTGTATTATTTTGTTAAAAATAATCACCCTGACATCTTTTCACTTTCTACTTTTCCCAAGTTTTTCTTAGGGTGTTATCTCAGAAACAAGTTGTATTATTTTCCTCTTATAAGAATTTCAGTTTGGAGGGATATTGATTTTGAGACTGATAAATATTAGAAAATTATTTCAAAAAAACTGTGCAAAGATATTTCTAATAATTTCTCTGTTTGCTGAATGATTATATTCTATAAAGTAGCATCCCTGGAGATGCTGGTGGATTTTTAATGGCTTTCCCAACCTAAGAAGTTTGAAAATGGCTTCTACTGACACAATAGAAATTTAGCTGATAACTAGGTACAAGACAGTAAATAAATAATTATATTTCATTTTTTACACACCTATGACCCTTCTTAAAAGATATGCTGCTGAATATCCTCAGTAAATTTTGAAAAAAGATGAAACAGGAACCATGCCTCTATGGTGGTTCAAAAATCTTAGCATTCAGACAATCACCAGCTTATCCCTCAGAAATATTTCCAATAGTGACATTTTCTTTCCCATTCCCTATGTTACTTCCTCTGCCAGTTTCATTACCTTTCACTATCTTTAGAGCCTCAGTTATCTGCAACTAATTTAAGCCCATCATCCCTAATGATACTTCCTGCAAAAAGAGATATTTCTGCAAAATCTATATGTATCATGTTATAGTTAATCTCATAGTGCCTACTGACAAAAAGGAGATATCTTTAGTTTTATAATTAAAAACACTTAGAATATGCCCACTTCTCTAACTTTACATCTCACCACTCCTCCTGTAAATACCTGAAGTTTCAGCCTAACAACTTCAAGCACTGATCTGAATACTCCATACCCTTTTGAAGCTTCTTATTTATTTATACATGTTTTTTTTCATTGTTTAATAAACATCCCACTTTCTTGACTGTCATGCTTCAATTCAACTCAGATTTCAAGGCCCCAAAGGAATACTATCTTCAATTTGAATTTTTGTCAGTTTCCTAAAATATTGATGTGTTTCTCCTTCTGATGCTCATATGACTTTATTCATATTTTTATAATTCAATTATTCACTGTGTTTATATTGAAGTTTTCTGAAATTTATAAGTCAATGGATTGACTTATACCATTTATATACCATTGGATTTATATATAATTGGATTGGCCAATGTTAGGAGAGAAATCCAGTATCTACACCATGAGTTTTCAAATTCTCATAACAACAAGGCTGTACAACTCCCTATGGCTAAGTGTATAATACCTGTTGAGCTTGTAAGCTCACTGCTTTATTCCCTACTACAGTATTGCTTTCTCTCCAGTTTATAAGAAATTAAAGTTGGATTACAGTAGTCTTTTTGTCTTTACCTCTGTTTAACCAAATACCACTGAAATCAGCTATTTGAATTTACAATAATGGGGATCAAAATTATTTGTTGTTCCAGCTCCTCTGTGACTTATTTTTTCCTTCTGTCCTGCAAATTCATACAGAAGGAGAAACTAAGTCACAGAGGAGCTAAAACAACAAAGAGTTTTGATCACATTTTTATAAAATATATATAATATATTTTATACAATATTTTATACAATATATATTTTATACATATATAATTATATATGCATAAACTTTTATACATATATGCATATATAAATTATAATACATCAGGTAGCTGTATAAATTATATATAATACATTATATTTTATATATTTATATTATAAATTTATAAATTATAAATATGTAATTTTATACATATATACATATGTAAAATTTTATGCATATATAATTTATATAATATAATTATATATTATATTTAACATATTTCATACAATATTTTATACAAATGTTGAGATCAAAACATATATACATATATATTTTAAACAGAGAAGTTTGGCAGTCTCATCACTAATTTTTTATAATGAAGAGTAATATTTATCTTATGCTCCGAAGTTTCAATGCAGCTTATTTGATTATATAGTTAAACGTAAAACATATATGGCAGAGAAAGATTATGATACTTTAGTAAGAGTAAAGTTTTTAGATATCAATTGTGGTTTTAAATAATGCATTATTTTCCTACAGATAAGTTTCTATGGGAAACTTTTATTTGTGGTCATGCAATCAATTAACATTGAATTTTCAATGGTCAATTTTTGCTTTTGTTATGATTACTTTTGGTGTCTTTACTATGAAGTCTTTGCCCATGCCTATGTCCTGAATGGCATTGCCTAGGTTGTTTTCCAGGGTTTTTATAGTTTTGGATTTTACATTTAAGTCTTTAATCCATCTTGAGTTAATTTTTGTATATGGTGTAAGAAAAGGGTCCAGTTTCAATATACTGCATATGACTAGCCAGTTATTCCAGCAACATTTATTGAATAGAAAATCCTACCCCATTGCTTGTTTTTGTCAGGTTTGTTGAAGATCAGATAGCTGTGGGCGGTCAGTCTTATTTCTGGGTCCTCTATTCTTTTCTATTGTTCTGTGCATCTGTTTTTGTACCAGTATCATGCTGTTTTGGTTACTGTAGCTCTGTAAGCTCTGTAGTATAGTTTGAAGTTGGGTAGTGTGATGCCTTCAGTTTTTTTTTTTTTTGCGTGTTTGTTTTTTGCTTAGGATTGCCACGGCTCTTCGGGTTCTTTTTAGGTTCCATATAAATTTTAAGGTAGTTTTCTCTAATTCTCTTAAGAATGTCAATGATAAATTAATAGAAGTAACATTAACTCTATAAATTGCTTTGGGCAGTATGGTCATTTTAACAATATTGAGTCTTCCTATCCATGAATATGGAATGTTTTTCCATTTGTTCATATCCTCTCTGATTTCTTTGAGTAGCAGTTTGTAGTTCTCCTTATTGAGACCATTCACCTCCTTATTACCTGTATTCCTAGGCAACTTATTCTTTTTGTGGCAATTTTGAATGGAAGTTCCCCCTAATTTTGCTCTCAGCTAGAATGTTGTTGGTGTAGAGAAATGCTAGTGAGTTTTGCATATTGATTTTGTATCCTGAGACTTTGCTGAAGTTGTTTATCAGCTTAACATGCTTTTTGGCAGAGACTATGGGGTTTTCTAAATATAGGATCATGTCATCTGAAAACAGGGATAGTTTGACTTCCTCTTCTGCCATTTGGATGCTCTTTATTTCCTTCTCTTGCCTGATTGCCCTGGCCAGAACATCCAATACTATGTTAAATAGGAGTTCTGAGAGAGGTCATCATTGTTTTGTGCCGGTTTTCAAGGAGAATACTTCCATCTTTTTTCATTCCCTTCAGTATGATGTTGGCTGTGGGTTTATCATATATGGCTCTTATTATTTTTACGTGTCTTCCATCAATGCCTAGTTTATTGAGAATTTTTAACATGAATGGATGGAGAATTTTTAACATGAATGGATGTAGAATTTTATAGAAAGCCTTTCCTGCATCTATTGAGATAATAATGTCTTTTTTATATTTAGTTCTGTTTATGTAATGAATCACATTTATTAATACGCACATGTTGAACAAACCTTGTATACTGGTGATCGTGGTGGATAAGCTTCTGCACAGCAAAATAAACTATCATCAGAGTAAATAGACAACCTACAGAATGGGAGGAAGTTTTTTCAAACCATGCATCCAACAAAGGTCTAATATCCAGCATCCATAAGAAACAAACAAATTTAAAAGAAAAAAAACTCGTTAAAAAGTGGGCAAAGGACATGAACCTACAATTTTCAAAACGAGACACATATGCGGCAAAAAATCATATGAAAAAAAGCTCAGCATGACTGATCATTGGAGAAATCCAAATCAAAACCACAATGAAATACCATTTCACACCAGTCAGAATGGCTATTATTTAAAAGCCAAAAAATAACAGATGCTGGTGAAGTTGTGGAGAAAAAGGAATGCTTACACACTGTTGGTGGAAGTGTAAATTAGGTCAGTCAGCCATTGTGGAAGATAGTGTGGTGACTCCTCAAAGACCTAACGACAGAAATACCATTAGAACTCACCAATCCTATTACTGGGTATATACCCAAAAGAAGATCAATCACTCTGTTAAAAAGATGCATGCATTCATGTTTATTGCAGCACTATTTTCAATAGCAAAGACATGGAATCAACCTAAATGCCCATCAATGATAGACTGGATAAAGAAAATGTGGTACATACACACCATGGAATACTATGCAGCCATAAAAAGAATGAGATCATGTCCTTTGTAGCGACATAGATAAAGCTGGAGGCCATTATCCTAAGCAAACTAATACAGGAAGAGAAAACCAAATACCACATATTCTCACTTACAAGTGGGAGATAAATAATGAAAACACATGGAGGGAAACTTTACACACTGGGGTCTTTCAGAGGGTAAAAGGCGGGAGAAGGGAGAGTATCAGAAAAAATAATAGGTACTAGGCTTAATTCATGTTTGACTAAATAATCTGTACAACAAACCGCCATTACACAAATTTACCTATGTAACAAACCTGCGCTTGTACCCTTGAACTTAAAATAGAAGTTAAAAAAAAGAAAAAAAAAAAACTTCAAGCACCTCAATATTTAGAATATATTGTGTTTTTTTAAAGCCTAGCAGAAGCAAAATATTTAACATATATTAGACATAAAAATAATGTATTTATTGACTTGCTTAATCAACAAAATAAAATAGAACTAAATAAACTACATCACTTGGTCTTATATTTCTGTTTTGAGATAAATAGTTGATACTCTTAACTAAATATGCTTGGAAAAGGTGTATGCAAACTGACAAAGATTTTTTTTTAAATTTATACAGTAAAAGATAATTGGGAATACTGGACTTGATTTATTCCAAAATTTGATGTTTACTGTAGGCCTGTAATTTATGCAAAATTTTGGAATGGCTTTACTAACAATTTAGTAAAAAGATGGATCTATATTCTTGGTACTAAAATTGTGGTATCTGAACATCAAATTTCTAGTTTATTTTATATATAAACAAATTATTTGTAACAACTTATTTAAGCTTGATAAAGTATTTCATTACATTAAATAATCAAATTTTATCATATTCAATTATTTTAAAAATAAATGTTAGAGTTACACTTCTAGTGATGTGGTGAATTAGACAATCCAAACTATTCTACTATTAGAAACTGCATAAATTACAACAAATACAATTCCTAATGCTTTCTCTCAAAGCTTGCTAGAAAGGCAGGCATAAAGATAACGAGGCTCCTTTCTCCTCCTAAATCAGTTAACCAATTAAAATTAGGCCCTATTTAGATAAAATTGCAAGATCATTCTCAATGACATTTGATCAGTCCAAAATAATATACCCAGGCATACTGACATCAACAATTCTATTATAAAGCAGACCAGACTGATAACTTTTAAGCAAGGACCAAAAATGGTAAAATTTAACCAAACAGAGCTTCTAATCGGCTTTTTAGTGCCTCATTCTTAAATATGAGTAGATGGTCAGTGTTCACCTGGCCAAGGTAATGGCTATGTGGTAGGCCTAAAAAGTAACCAGTCAAGATTAGACCAAGTCAAGGTTTTTGCTGTTCTATTGTTAATTTTCTTCAAGAAGATGACATTTTAAAAAATTCCTTAGTGAAGCCATATAGTTCTGGGCTTTTCTTTGTTAACAGGTTTCTATTATTAATTATTATTATTATTGCTTCGATCTTCTTACATCTCCAGTATTTTATTTCTTCATGATTTATAGTATTGGTAGGTTGTATGTTTTCATAAATTTATTCAGTTCCTCCAAGTTATTCAATTTGTTAGTATATAATTGTTCATAGTAGTTTTATATTTCCTTTTTTAAAATTTTTGTAACATATGTTGTAATGTTCCCCTTTCATTTCTAATTTTAGTTATTTGAGTTTTCTCCGTTTTTGTTAAAAGCAAACAAGACCCTGACTAGTTAAGGGTTTGTGAATTTTGTTGGTCTTTTCAAAAAAAAACTGTTGGTTTTATTAATTTTTTTCTCTTCTTTTCTTTTCTTTCTTTTTTTTTTTTTTTTTTTTGAGAGGGAGTTTCGCTCTCATTGTCCAGGCTGGAGTACAACGGCGCGATCTCGGCTCACTGCAACCTCCGCCTCCTGGATTCAAACGATTCTCATGCCTCAGCTTCCTGAGTAGCTGGGATTACAGGCATGCACCACCACGCCCAGCTAATTTTGTATTTTTATTAGAGATGGGGTTTCTCCATATTGGTCAGGCTGGTCTCGAACTCCCGACCTTAGGTGATCCACCCACCTAGTCCTCCCAGAGTGCTAGGATTACAAGCGTGAGCGACCGCGCCCGGCCTATTAATGTTTTTCTAATGTTTTACTATACTCTGTTTTTTATTTATCTCTGTTCTAATTTTTTTTCATTCTTTCTGTAAACTTTTGTTTTAGCTTATCCTTCTAGTTCCTTGAGGTATAAAGTTAGGTTGTTGATGTGAGATTTTTTTCTTTTTAATTGTAAGCGTTTATTGTTACAATTTTTTCTCTTAGTACTGCTTTTGTCCCATCTCATATGTTTTGGTATGTGGTATTTTTCATTTTCATTTGTCTCTAGATACTCTCTAGATTTTTCTGTGATTTCTTCTTTTATCTATTAGTTGTTTGAGTTAGTGATTTAATTTCCACTTTTTTGGATTTTTTTGTTTTCCCTCTGCTATTGATTACCAGTTTCATTTCATTGTGGTCAGAGAACATACACTGTATAATTTCAATGTTTCAATGTTCTTAAATTTGATAAAATTTTTATTGTGTTTTAATAAGTGGTCTTTCAGAATGTTTTATGTGCACTTGAGAAGAATATATATTCTGCTGTCGCTTGGTGGAGTGTTCTGTTTGTGTCTATTAGGTCCAATTGGTCTATAGGGATGTTCAAGTCCTCTCTTTTCTTATGCCTATTGTTTTAGTCATAACTGAAAGTGGAGAAATCTCCTACTATTATTGTATTGCTATTTATTACTCCCTTCAGTTCTATAAATGTACGCTTCATTTATGTAGGAGCTTTAATGTTAGATGTATATATATTTATAATGGTTATATCTTCCTGATAACTGACTGTCATCATTGTATAATCCCCTTCTTTAGCTCTTGTGACAGTTATTGTATTAAAGCCTATTTTGTTTGATATACGGCCAACCCTACTCTCTTTAGGTTCACAATTGCATGGAATATCTTTTTTCACTATTTCACTTTCCACCTATGTGTGTCCTTAGATGTTAAACAAGTCTCTTGTGGACAGCACATAGCTGGACAGTGCTTTTTACATAATATATTCAGCCAATCTTTTTCTTGTAATTGGAGCATTTAACCATTTACATTTAAAATAATTACTGATAGGGATGAACTTAATATTGCTATTATATCAGTTGTTTTCTGTATATCGTAGCTTTTTTGTCTTTCCTTTTTTCTCATGCTTCTTCCTTGTGTGTTTCGTTGCTAATTTGTACATATTTTGATTTTCCTCTCATTTCCCTTCGCGTATGTTGTATAGATACTATCTTTCTGGTTAACAGTCATTTAAAACACTTTAAAGTTATAACAATTTATTTTTAAACTAATAACAATTTAACAGTTTGTATGTTCATATATTTGACCACATATAAACTCAATTTCTTTTTTTCTATGCACCCCCCACTTTGTTATTAATTATTCTAATAACCTATTTTTATTTGTATTCAATAAGTGATTTATAGTTACTCTCTTATGCCTCTGTTTTTAAAACTCTACACCAGATTTTAAAGTGATTTATCATTTATAAAACTACAGAATTCTATATTTGTCTATATATTGACCTTTACCAGAGAATTTGATATTTTCATATGCATTTTGTTTATTTTTATTGTCTTTTCATTTTAATCTGAAAGACTGTCTTTAGGCCTCTCTTTCAGGGAAGGTCCAGTGTTGATGAACTCTCACCTCTTTAGGTTGTGTTGGCAAGTCACAGTTCTGCCTTCATTTTTGAAAGACAGTTTTTGCCAGATACTATATTCTTGGTTGAATACTTGGGAAAAGGAATGCAGGTGATTAAGTGCCATTAATTTTTCTATGGAGCTTTTATGTTGTTGGCTTTTGCTCATTTGTGACGAAGAAACCTTTAAGGTGGCTTTTAGATTACTCAGATGAGCAATTAGTTTGTATATGGTTGTTATGCTTATGTCTCCATAGAGGAAGGGGAGTCTGGAGATTCTTATTAAACTATCTTGTTGTCATTACAATTTGCATGTTTTTTGTTTGTTTGTTTGTTTGTTTTACCAGTTTAATATGTACTCAACTGGTACTTACTTGCTAGTATGCTCATTTCGGAGAGTTTCAACTTTCATATATTATTCTAAAATTTAAACTGCTACTTTAAATAATGCAAGTTGAGCTATTTTTGAAGGTAGTTATAATTTATCTTTTCACATATGCATTATTTTCTGTGATGAGGATCTACAAAATGAGGCTATGCCTGTGAAATTTGCAACTGATGATAATATCCAAGATCAATGGTTCAAACTGTCTTTACCACAGGATTCTTTTACACTTTGAAATGCTAAAATAGTTTTTTGTTAAAACTGCCAAAACCAAAAGTATTAAAAGATTGTCGTTTTGACAAATCTCTTTATTATCTGGCTTTTAAAGACTGCTGAATTGTTTCATCTATTTATGTTTTCAAACTGTTGCAACATATTATTTTTGCTAAAATTTATACATAAAATTCAGCCTCATCCATATATAAGATTGGCAAAACAATGAATATTTTAAGGCCTTTTTAGAAAATTTAGTATGTTCTTCTTTGATACTATACCAAAATCCAAAAATGGTATTTATTTCAAAATTAGATGATATGTAAAATCTGAATTTTTTTAAACATTTGAATTTTTAAAATATTGTCATATTTAAGCCAATAGATCTGTCTTCCACTTTGAATGAATTTTTACATATGGTTTATTATGCCTTGCAGTGAAGAGTCTTATGAACTCAAACCCCAGGGTCCTCATAGTATATATTGTGAACCACTGTCCTAGTTTATGCCTGAAAGAGGCTCTAAAAAATGAGGATAATATAGAATACATATATATTGTTTGAAATTATGCTTTATTCAGTAAACATTGTATCATGAGGTTTTTTTATCATGAGGTAATCTTTTTAAATAGGATTACAGGTCATACAATGTGATACATTCTAGACATATAGAAATATATAAAATCATTATTGAACCACTTCCCTGTTATTGGAAATGTAGTTTCAATTATTTAAATATCATGTATATGAAGCAAATTGTATTTCTACTTTTATTATTTTATTAGGAAGGAGGAAAATAAACATCATGAAAAGAGGGAGCAGAAAAAGTAATAAATGCTTTCATTATATTGCTAATCAAATGCAGATTATTATTTGACTCCGTTAGTCATAAGACATACAATTAAAAAAAGATATCTACTTCAGTCCTATACGTAAATTTCATTGGGTAATATTTCATTAGGTAAATATTGCTGGCCATTACAAATAGTTACTCTGCATATCAAGCTGTTTTATTTATTCATATTTTGGAGACAAGATCTCACATTGTTGACCAGGCTAGAGTACAGTGGCACAACTAGAGCTCACTACAGCCTTGATTTCCTTGGCTCAAGCAAACTTCCCACCTCAGCCTCCTAAGTAGCTAGAACTATAGGGGCATGCCACCACACCCAGCTAATTTAATTAAGCTCATTTTTAATTGTGATCTGAGACTTGAAGATGGTATCACAGGAATGGATAATGAAGAAGGCTAATAGCACTCTATGTGTCTAATCTGTGGTTAAATGCAGAGGCCTGCATATACCCCTCCCACTCAAGGTAGGGTAAAGAGACACAGAATACAAAAACATCCAACGTAATAATGATTATATGCACAAAAGATACAAAAGAAGACCTTCTTCTCTCATTTATCTTACAAATTTACTTTGTATTTTTTAAATAGACAAATATAGCTGTTATGTGTTATACAATTGATTTTAAATATTTAAACAGATAACAATGTTAGATGTAAACATACTATAAGGGTTTGAGCTATCAACTAGAAGTTTTGCTATTTAACATGATGAATATTAGAAACAACTCTTCACTAGTAAAATTAGTAACTGGTTAATCTACATAACTGAAGTCAGAGTTGTATGTTCATTGTTGAGGTTAGAGGCATGCAATCTATGCTGATCCGATAAAATATTGCAGAAAAGTGCTCTATGCCTGCACTACTGAAGTGTAAGAACCCAGCAAGTACTGTAATATCTACCTTGAGAATTGGTCAACTTCTTTCCAGACCTAGGGTTGACATGATGCCAACTGCAAGTCTTTTTTTCTTTTCTTTTCTTTTATTATTATTATACTTTAAGTTTTAGGGTACATGTGCACAATGTGCAGGTTAGTTACATATGTATACATGTGCCATGCTGGTGTGCTGCACCCATTAACTCGTCATTTAGCATTAGGTATATCTCCTAAAGCTATCCTTTCCCCCTCCCCTCACCCCACAACAGTCCCCAGAGTGTGATGTTCCCCTTCCTGTGTCCATGTGTTCTCATTGTTCAATTCCCACCTATGAGTGAGAATATGTGGTGTTTGGTTTTTTGTTCTTGCGATAGTTTACTGAGAATGATGATTTCCAATTTCATCCATGTCCCTACAAAGGACATGAACTCATCATTTTTTATGGCTGCATAGTATTCCATGGTGTATATGTGCCACATTTTCTTAATCCAGTCTATCATTGTTGGACATTTGGGTTGGTTCCAAGTCTTTGCTATTATGAATAGTGCCACAATAAACATACGTGTGCATGTGTCTTTAGAGCAGCATGATTTAGAGTCCTTTGTGTATATACCCAGTAATGGGATGGCTGGGTCAAATGGTATTTCTAGTTGTAGATCCCTGAGGAATCGCCACACTGACTTCCACCATGGTTGAACTAGTTTACAGTCCCACCAACAGTGTAAAAGTGTTCCTATTTCTCCACATCCTCTCCAGCACCTGTTGTTTCCTGACTTTTTAATGATTGCCATTCTAACTGGTGTGAGATGGTATCTCATTGTGGTTTTGATTTGCATTTCTCTGATAGCCAGTGATGGTGAGCATTTTTTCATGTGTTTTTTGGCTGCATAAATGTCTTCTTTTGAGAAGTGTCTGTTCATATCCTTCGCCCACTTTTTGATGGCGTTGTTTGTTTTTTTCTTGTAAATTTGTTTGAGTTCATTGTAGATTCTGGATATTAGCTCTTTGTCAGATGAGTAGGTTGCAAAAATTTTCTCCCATTCTGTTTGGTTGCCTGTTCACTGTGATGGTAGTTTCTTTTGCTGTGCAGAAGCTCTTTAGTTAATTAGATCCCATTTGTCAATTTTGGCTTTTGTTGCCATTGTTTTTGGTGTTTTAGGCATGAAGTCCTTGCCCATGCCTATGTCCTGAATGGTAATGCCTAGGTTTTCTTCTAGGGTTTTTATGGTTTTAGGTCTAACATTTAAGTCTTTAATCCATCTTGAATTAATTTTTGTATAAGGTGTAAGGAAGGGATCCAGTTTCAGCTTTCTACGTATGGCTAGCCAGTTTTCCCAGCACCATTTATTAAATAGGGAATCCTTTCCCCATTGCTTGTTTTTCTCAGGTTTGTCAAAGATCAGATAGTTGTAGATATGCAGCGTTATTTCTGAGTGCTCTGTTCTGTTCCATTGATCTATATCTCTGTTTTGGTACCAGTACCATGCTGTTTTGGTTACTGTAGCCTTGTAGTATAGTTTGAAGTCAGGTAGCCTGATGCCTCCAGCTTTGTTCTTTTGGCTTAGGATTGACTTGGCGATGCGGACTCTTTTTTGGCGCCATATGAACTTTAAAGTAGTTTTTTCCAATTCTGTGAAGAAAGTCACTGGTAGCTTGATGGGGATGGCATTGAATCTATAAATTACCTTGGGCAGTATGGCCATTTTCACAATATTGATTCTTCCTACCCATGAGCATGGAATGTTCTTCCATTTGTTTGTATCCTCTTTTATTTCCTTGAGCAGTGGTTTGTAGTTCTCCTTGAAGAGGTCCTTCACATCCCTTGTAAGTTGGATTCCTTGGTATTTTATTCTCTTTGAAGCAATTGTGAATGGGAGTTCACTCATGATTTGGCTCTCTGTTTGTCTGTTATTGGTGTATAAGAATGCTTGTGATTTTTGTACATTGATTTTGTATCCTGAGACTTTGCTGAAGTTGCTTATCAGCTTAAGGAGATTTTGGGCTGAGACAATGGGGTTTTCTACATATGCAATCATGTCATCTGCAAACAGGGACAATTTGACTTCCTCTTTTCCTAATTCAATACCCTTGATTTCCTTCTTCTGCCTAATTTCCCTGGCCAGAACTTCCAACACTATGTTGAATAGGAGTGGTGAGAGAGGGCATCCCTGAAGTCTAACCAAATCCTGACTCTGGGGCATTGTCTCTTCCCTATGTGAATTCCAGTGCATGCTGCTGTAAATCACATAAGTGGCAGGGAGCCTGAGCTCACATTAAGCCTCCAAAATAAGTTTAAAAGTTACTTTTTCTAGCCCTCTACTGGCTAACAAACTTATTAATAATAAATGATTGTATGTGAGAAAAATTTCTTCTTGAGAATGTTTTTTCCTTATATCCTGATGAAGACATTATTTCTTCTTAAACTTTTTCGTGATTCATTGTTCTACTGAAAAGAACTTAGTTCTGTTTTAATTTGTAATACCACAATTTAATATGCATGCAATATTGATAATGAGATACAGTGAATTTCCTTAACCCATTGAAATGCTGAGAAGCAAAATTGGATTAAAATGATATTGTGCTCAAAGACTCAATGACCTGGCATTCAATCCATCTTCTATCACATTCTAGCTCTGTGATTTTGAGCAATAATTTTAACTTTTCTAAGAATTACATTGGGATTAATGATTATATACAGTATTCTAAAGCAAGTCAATGATTTTCAACATACAGCTTTAAAAAGAAAAATTTCAAGTAGGTAATATAAAAAATGTCCATAAATTGGATGTTCTCTTTGGGAGTATATACTTGCCTCCAGTTCACATTGTTATAAAACTTTATCAAACCATAATGTAAAGTCAACAAAGGTTTTGCATTATTTTAAATAAAATATGATAATTTTTCATACATCAATTGAAATTTTCCCTCAGAAGCACGAGTATAAAATAATTCCTTTCAATAAAAAATTGATGGATTTTGTTTTTCAAAAATGTGAAAAGCTCAAAACCACAGAAATATCAGTCTTCAGAAGTATAAGGAAGTCTTAGTATGCCAAGAACTTTACAAAACCGATATAGCATATTTAATGTCAAATTTTGTGCTTGGAGAGAAAGAAGAATGAGTTACTGGCAAAGTATCTCTACCTGATGACATTTTTGGTGCTATCTAATATCACTGACATAGAGAAACAATTACTATCAGTCTTCTTCAAAAGAAATATAGCCTGGAAAATGCCGCATTTCACTCAGTACCAACAGAGAAACAGCCACATATTGAGCAATTAAGGTTGAGCTCTCAGTAATGTATTAGAAGTCCAGGAGCATCTATCTCTTAAATAGAAACCCTCACATATCAAAATTTTGGATGTCATATAGTCATAGACTTAACATCTAGCCAAAGGCTTACAGTAATTTTCAGTCCATAATTTTCTGGTTGACTTTGATGTGAATATTTGGAATTATCTAATGCAGGCACCTTATTTTTGCATTCCCGATGACATAAAATTGAGTGCTAGGATTGTCTGGCCTATAGCTCAAGTTATAGAGCTTAGATGTGAACAACATAGGGAATGTCGGCAAACAATGTGCCTCTCACAAATACAAGACAACCATTACAATCATTTATTGCTAAAATGTTGAAGGACAAAAATGCTATATATTTCATAGATGCCAATCTACAGTTAAGATATACAACAAAATAATGTTTACAAAGTATTTCTGTAACCTCTAATGTTTGTAATTTTTCTATATTTTATGTTTCATATCCCTGGTAAGCTGCATGTGAAAGTAATTATCAGTATTCTATTTGGTGCTTTACTGAATGCTAAAAGACAATAGCGTCCCAAGATATTTTTAGTATAGTGGAAAAATTGCTAGAAACCAATATTTTTAGTACAGTGGAATAATTGAGAACTGGAATAATTTAGTACAGTGGAATAATTGAGAACTCAAGTGTCTTTAGTGGCATTTCAGCATAGTGATATAGTGGCATGGTCTAGAGTGGTGACAGTGAATAAATAAGAACAAACATTGAGATTCAAAAGAAATTTAGGAGCTGGAATTTTTAACAAGTGAAGATGAAAGGTAGAGAAGAGTCAAAGGAGATCACATCTGTTATTGGCTTAAATAACAGGATAGATGATTTTAGAACAAACTCACAAAGAGAAATCAACTTAGTCTTCAGAGTTATAACCAGTTTCTATTATGTTAAAAACATCTGAAGTTCATTAAAGATCATTAAGTCAAAGAACTGAGAGCATAAAGCTTTGTTTGAGTGGATCATAGGCAGTTCTCACAAAAGTTCCAAAACCTGCAGAGAATGGAGAAAAAGATAATGCAGCTAAGTTCTTCACTGAATTAGAAGAGATAAGGAGAAGCTGGTGGTTAGCCACATGTCCCAAATAAATGCATTATTTATTTATTTATTATTTATTTTTTTGTAGAACCTGAATGATCTAAAAGCATCATTAGTAATGGCTGCATTCCATCCACCATGCCAGCATAAGCAGCAGTCCTTAACAAGTCGGCATAGAAAGTAGAGTTTTGTTTAATACTAGGCAGGGGAGAAAACTTTAGAAAGAGTTGAGACTGTAGCTGTTTTTTTGTTTGTTTTATAGCACAGTACAAAGTTCCAGAGGAAAGACAATTCTTAGAAGGATAAAAGCAATGGGAGTTGATGTAAAAGAAGCTAGTACATAAGGCAATGTAAATAGCAGAGTATTGGTGGGGAGGGCTTCAGAGCATCTGATATCTTGGATCAAGATGGAAATCAACTTGGGATATGTGAAGGGGTAAATTCAGTTACATTTAAGACTTTGAGGTGTTAGTCTCAATACTTCTTTCCTCTTCTAGCCATTCATGTATATTCTTGCAAAAAACTAGCCATAATTTGTGTGTGAAATGAATGTCAGTCCTACCTTTTAGCCTGTAAACTGTGTGGATAAGGGCCTATAACCAATTGGCTGTGCTCCTAACTGTTTTTCTGAGCACAGATCCTAGCACACAGTAAATTTGTGTCATAATGAGTAAGTTTAGCTACAAGATCTAGATTTGTTTTCTTGTCTGGACTTGAACGAAAAAGGATTTTAATATGATACATATAACATTAGTCCATGGGATGGATATATGAGACTGTACCAGAAAGGGAAAGAGTAAAGATTAGTCAGACAGTAACAAATTTTTATTCAGTGTATTTTCTTCTTGATTTTATTTTATTCAAAACTTTTATTTAATGAATACGTATAACTTTTATAAACCCTATGAAGGCGAGGATGTTTGTTTTGCTCTCTAATAGTTCCCCGGCATCTAGGCAGGTACCTGGTATATTGTAGACACTAAATGTATTTTTCAAATGAATAATTGAACCCATTAATATTTCTAAATAAATCAATGCCCTTATCATGTGTTCTTCACTGAATAAGAATGTTATTTGGTGATAATGATGCTTTCACAACATTTTCAAAAGATCTACTTCAGCCACTCTAAAAGTCAAGTTTGTCATGTAAAACATATTTTTATAAGAGTAAAATTTACTTATGCTAGAAGCATCATACTCAAGAGGATAAAGTAGTATTCAGAGAAATGTGGTGAGGGATTTGTAATGAGAACACGGCTGCTGAGTAATGTACACAATAGTATGCACCATTTGCGTATTTATTTTTCAATATATTTCTTACAACAATCTCCACTACCTTCAGGGAATAACTTAATTTCCTATTTAATTTCAGGTGTTGCAACTGCCTTAAGATTTTTATAAATTATGTATAACACTATATAGAGCTAAAAGTTATGGTTTCTATTCTTTATCAGGTACAAATTTTGTTTTAAATTAAACATGTAGCAGATTTATGGTTCAATTTACCCTCTTGTTCTGGTTACATAATACTTGTCAAAGGAAGGTTTCAACGAACAGCTTTGAAAAATACCAAATTTTTTAACAGACTGCCTAGAATGATATTATGGCATTCATCAATTAAATTCCCAGAAAAATCAAATATTAAAACTATAATTAAAACTTACTTCTCTACGCTGGAAATTAAGTTGTTTTCCTTATAGCTAAACCTTCAGTAGAAGAGAATTTTATTCCCTTGTATTCCCAAACTGCAATTCTCATTTTGTTTTTATTCTATCACATTGTAACCAGGCTTGAAAATCTGAAATATTTTTAAATTTATATTTTTTTCCTGTGTAGCAAGAAAACATCAAGTAACCTGTGATTTTTTTTCTTAAGTATGTCACGTTTGGTATAAAACTAGTTGAAGAAATTATACTGTTATATAAGAATTGAATTTGTTTCATTTCTAATCCCTGAAATTTGTTTTTTTGTTTTGTTTTGTTTTGTTTGCTTCTTAAACAGGGTAGGGCTATAACTTCATTACTACACACAAAGAGATTTTTTATGCTAATTTCTAATAAAGTTTTTAATGATACTTCTTTTTTTCAGAATTTCTAGCAAAATAACTTTTGTTATATCTATTGATACTATTTATTTTTAGAATCAGGCAAAAGTTGAATAAATGAGTCAAACTCTGCCCTTTATGAAGTATAATGGAATAAGGCTTTTTAAAAATAACATTGACAAATTGTATTTATTGCACACAAGCTTTCATCTTTTTTTTTTTTTTTCCTTTGGAATGGAGTCCCACTCTGTTGCCCAGGATAGAGTGCGGTGGTGCAATCTTGGCTCACTGCAACCTCCGTCTCCTGGGTTCAAGTGATTCTCCTGCATCAGCCTCCTGAGTAGCTGGGATTACAGGTGCCCACCATCAAACTCGGCTATTTTTATGTTTTTTAGTAGAGACGCAGTTTCACCACGTTGGCCAGTTTTTTTTTTTTTTCGAACTCCTGACCTCAGGTGATCTGTCTGCCTCGGCCTCCAAAAGTGGTGGGATTACAGGTATGAACCCACCACGCCCGGCCAAACTTTCATCTTTAATCTTGAGCTTGTGCAGCATTTGGCATCTTTGACCATTCATCATAAAACATTTTTCTCTCGAATTTTCAGGCAGTATACTGCCCTGCTTTTCTTTCTATTCTCTGACCACTACTTTCCAATAGTACTTAGATTATTCTCTCTATTGTGTGCTTTGATTAGGGGGTTCTGTTTTGAATCCTCTAGTAAACTCTTCTCTAAGCTCCAAATGCTTTTTGAACTTAAAAATACTACATTTAAAAGAACTAGAGAAGCAAGAGTAAACAAATTCAAAAGCTAGCATAAGACAAGAAATAACTAAGATCAGACCAGAACTGAAGGAGATAGAGACATGAAAAACCCTTCAAAAAATCAATGAATCCAGGAGTTGGTTTTTTGAAAAGATCAATAAAATAGACCGCTAGCCAGACTAATAAAGAAGAAAAGAGAGAAGAATCAAATAGACACAATAAAAAATGAGAAAGGGGATATCCCCACCAATCCCACAGAAATACAAACAACCATCGGAGAATACTATAAACACGTCTATGCAAATAAACTAGAAAACCTAGAAGAAATGGATAAATTCCTGGACACCTACACCCTCTGAAGTCTAAACCAAGAAGAAGTCAAATCCCTGAATAGGTCAATAACAAGTTCTGAAATTGAGGCAGTAATTAAAAGCCTAACAACCAAAAAACTCCAGGACCAGATAGATACACTGCCGAATTCTACCAGAGGTACCAAGAGGAGCTGGTACCATTCCTTCTGAAACCATTCTAAACAATAGAAAAAAAGGAACTCCTCCCTAACTCATTTTATGAGTCCAGCATCATCTTGATACCAAAACCTGGCAGAGACTCAACAAAAAAAGAAAATTTCAGGCCAGTATCCCTGATGAACACTGATGTGAAAATCCTCAATCAAATACTGGCAAACCAAATCCAGCAGCACATCAAAAAGCTTATCCAACAGGATCAAGTCAGCTTCATTCTTGGGATGCAAGGCTCTTTCAACATACGCAAATCAATAAACGTAATCCATCACACAAACCAAACCAATGACAAAAACTACATGATTATCTCAATAGATGCAGAAAAGGCCTTCAATAAAATTCAACACCACTTCATGCTGAAAACACTCAATAAACTAGCTATTGATGGAACATATCTCAAAATAATAAGAGCTATTTATGATAAACCCATAGCGAAGATCATATTGAATGGACAAAAGCTGGAAGCACTCCCTTGGAAAACTGTCACAAGACAAGGATTCCTTCTCTCACCACTCCTATTCAACACAGTATTGGAAGTTCTGGCCAGGGCAATCAGGCAAGAGAAAGAAATAAAGCATATTCAAATAGGAAGAGAGGAGGTCACATTGTTTCTACTTGCAGATTACATGATTGTATATTTAGAAAACCCTATAGTCTCAGCCCAAAAACTCCTTAAGCTGATAAGCAACTTCAGCAAAGTCTCAGGTTACAAAAATCGCAAGCATTCCTATACAACAATAACAGACAAACAGAGAGCCAAATCATGAGTGAACTCCCATTCACAATTGCTACACAGATAATAAAATACCTAGGAATCCAGCTTACAAGGGATGTGAAGGACCTCTTCAAGGAGAACTGCAAACCACTGCTCAAGAAAATGAGAGAGGACACAAACAAAGGGAAAAACATTCCATGCTCATGGATTGGAAGAATCAATATCGTAAAAATGGCCATACTGTCCAAAGTAATTTATAGATTCAATGCTATCACCATTAAGCTACCATTGACTTTCTTCCCAGAATTGGAAAAAACTACTTTAAAGTTCATATGAAACCAAAAAAAGAGCCCATATAGTCAAGACAGTCCTAAGCAAAAAGAACAAAGCTGGAGGCATCACACTACCTGACTTCAAACTATACTACAAGGCTATAGTAACCAAAACAGCATGGTACTGGTATCAAAACAGATATACAGACCACTGGAACAGAACAGAGGCCTCAGAAATAACACCACACACCTACAAACATCTGATCTTTGACAAACCTGACAAAAACAAGCAATGGGGAAAGGATTCCCTATTTAATAAATGGTGTTGGGAAAACTGGTTAGTCATATGCAAAAAACGGAAACTAGATCCCTTCCTTACACCTTATACAAAAATTAACTCAAGATTTATTAAAGACATAAATGTAAGACCTAAAACCATGAAAACCCTTAAAAAATCCTAGACAATACAATTCAGGACATAGGCATGGGCAAAGACTTCATGACTAAAACACCAAAAGCAATGGCAACAAAAGCCAAAGTTGACAAATGGGAACTAATCAAACTAGAGAGCTTCTGCACAGCAAAAGAAACTATCATCAGAGTGAACAGGCAACCTAGAGAATGGGAGAAAATTTTTGCAATTTATCCATCTGACAAAGGGCTAATATCCAGAATCTACAAAGAACTTAAACAAATTTACAAGAAAAAAACAACCCCATCAAAAAGTGGGGGAAGGATACCAACAGACACTTCTCAAAAGAAGACATCTATGCAGCCAACAAACATATGAAAGAAAGTTCATTACCACTGGTCATTAGAGAAATGCAAATCAAAACCACAATGAGAAACCATCTCATGCCAGTTAGTATGGCGATCATTAATAAGTCAGGAAACAACAGATGCTGGAGATGATGTGGAGAAACAGGAATGCTTTTACACTGTTGGTGGAAGTGTAAATTAGTTCAACCATTGTGGAAGACAGTGTGGCAATTCCTTAAGGATCTAGAACCAGAAATATCATTTGACTCAGCAATCCCATTACTGAGTATATACCCAAAGTATTATAAATCATTCTACTGTAAAGACACATGCACACGTATGTTTATTGTGGCACAGTTTACAATAGCAAAGACATTTAACCAACCCAAATGCCCATCAATGATAGACTGCATAAGTAAATGTGGCACATATACACCATGGAATACTATGTGGCCATAAAAAAGGATGAGTTCATGTCCTTTGCAAGGACATGGATGAAGCTTGAAACCATCATTCTCAGCAAACTAACGCAAGAACAGAAAACCAAACACCATATGTTCTCACTCATAGATGGGAGTTGATTAATGAGAACACATGGACACAGGGAGGGGAACATCACACCCCAGGGCCTGTTGTGGGATGGGGAGCTAGGGGAGGGATAACATTAGGAGAAATACCTAATGTAGATGACAGGTTGATGAGTGCAGCAAACCACCATGGCACGTGTACACCTATGTAACAAACCTGCACGTTCTGCAGTATAATAAATAAACAAATGAATAAATAAATACCTACTCCTTAAATAGTAAATTTTAGCCTTTCAAAATGGCCTCCTCCAAAAAAAAAAAAAGTACATCATTGGAATTCTTGCTCTTCTCTATTTTCTTAAATATCTAACATTTTACATTCCTACCTTTTCTTTAGTGTATAGTACCTAAATCCTTATATTTTTTTGGAAAACACAATTTAAAGAAATTCTTTATTCCTCTCTTTAGCTAAGATTCTATCTTATCTATCCCTCCAATTTTTACTAAAAATATATATATCTAAAAGTCATCCTCTTTTCTGTCAACTGTCATCATTATACCACCTCTAGATTATTGAAATAACTTCCTAATGTGTTTCCCTGATTGACTTATGATCCAAAGAGTTAATTCTCCACACAGCAGTCAAGGTAACATTTAAAAAATATAAATCAATAATTTTATTTCCCTGTTTAAAAACTTTAATACTCTCAAAATAAAAGCCAAATGTAAAGACCTAGCCTACAATGCTTATCGTGATGGTCTCTGACCTCCTTTCCAACTTCATCTCATAATAGAGACCTTACCTCTATCTCCTCCCTCATGTTATACCTTTCCTAACTTCCTCCCTATTTGCCATAAGAAGCGTCAAGCCTTTTCTCATCTTAGTGTCTTAATAACTGGAGGAGCTCAGCTCAGATGTCATATTTCAGCTCAGATGTCATATTTCAGATGACCCTTTAATGATCATCTTTTACAAAATAATCTTTCTTATTAACTTCATGGTAACCACAGTCAGGAGTTACCTTGTTTATGTTTTATGTATATATCATCGCTTTTCCTTTTACTAAATGTAAGTTCAGTTAGACCACGGATCTTACAAACCTGGTTCAAATATATATTATGTTAGTCACTATATATGATAGCCATATAGCAAATAAATGGTAGACACTAGCATAGTACTAAAGTATAGTAGACCCTATGTAAATGCTTACTAAGTAAAGGAATGAATTTATAAGGAAATGGACAAGTGAATAAAATAATGAGATCCCTTCCTTACACTTTATACAGAAAATTAATTCAAGTTGGATTAAAGATTTAAATTTTAGACCTAAAACCATAAAAACCCTAGAAGAAAACCTAGGCAATACTATTCAGGACATAGGCATGGGTAAGGACTTCATGTCTAAAACACCAAAAATAAAATGGCAATAAAAGCCAAAATTGACAAATGAGATCTAACTAAACTAAAGAGCTTCTGCATAGCAAAAGAAACTACCATCACAGTGAACAGGCAACCTACAGAATGGGAGAAAATTTTTACAATCTAGCCATCTGACAAAGGGCTAATATCCAGAATCTACAAAGAACTTAAACAAATTTACAAGAAAAAATCAAACAACCCCATCAAAACGTGGGCAAAGGATATGAACACACACTTCTCAAAAGAAGACATTTATGCAGCCAACAAACACACACAAAAAATGTTCATCATCACTGGCCATCAGAGAAATGCAAATCAAAACCACAATGAGATACCATCTCACACCAGTTAGAATGACAATCATTAAAAAGTTAGGAAACAACAGGTGCTGGAGAGGATGTGGAGAAACAGGGACACTTTGACACTGTTGGTGGGACTGTAAACTAGTTCAACCATTGTGGAAGACAGTGTGGCGATTCCTCAAGGATCTAGAACTAGAAATACCATTTGACCCAGCCATCCCATTACTGGGTATATACCCAAAGGATTAAAAATTATTCTACTATAAAGACACATGCACACATATGTTTATTGCGGCACTATTCACAATAGCAAAGACTTGGAACCAACCCAAATGTCCAACAATGATAGACTGGATTAAGAAAATGTGGCACATATACACCATGGAATACTATGCAGCCATAAGAAAAGGATGAGTTCATGTCCTTTGTAGGGACATGTATGAAGCTGGAAACCGTCATTCTGAGCAAACTATCGTAAGGACAGAAAACCAAACACTGCATGTTCTCACTCATATGTGGGAACTGAACAATGAAAACACTTGGACACAGAGTGGGGAACATCACACATTGGGGCCTGTTGTGGGGTGGCAGGAGGGGGGAGGGATAGCATTAGGAGATACGCCTAATGTAAATGATGAGTTAATGGGTGCAACACACCAACATGGCACATGTATACACATGTAACAAAACTGCACATTGTGCACATGTACCCTAGAACTTAAAGTATAATTAAAAAATAAATAAATAAATAAAAAACCTGAAGACTCCATTAAGAAACAAAATAAACATACAAAAGTAGTTGCATTTCTCTTTTTTTCTTTAAAAAAAAAGATGGATAGAGTATTGATGACATTAGCTTGAGAAATTTAATAAAAACCATCTCTCTAAGCCCTGGTGGAGTAATTAAAAAAATAATATGTAAAGTTACCTGTATCATCTGTGTAAGGTGCCTTCTGACCATCAAAGTTCCTTAGTAGACCTATGCATGCATATGTTTCTACAGTAGCTTATTCCAGCAACCAAGAATTTAAAATTATTTGACATCCCCAAGCTCAATGACAGAAAAATGTCAAGTGTTTCCAAAGAAGGAATAGACATAGCTTTGCCAGCTCTTTCAGATACTTCTCCGTTTAGCCAGATAAAGCCTCACAGCTAGTTTTATTTTATCCAGATCCTACCTTTTAGGGATTTTGGCAAAACAAAGGTAGACTACATCTATAATCCATAAAGGTAGCATTTTCTCTTTCTGCTCTTAATTTCCATATCTGGTTAGCAAAAAGAAGGTACTAACGTCTCTTCAGAATTGCATATTTTGAATACGCAGTCACCAAAATTTTTATAACTTAGTATTCTGTTCTGATTTGCTGTAATACATCAGCCACTGCACAGATAAAATGTTTGTGTCAAGATAAATATTTTGCATTGAATTGCCAAACATCCACTTGTATGTACACACAAAAAAGTAGTTACTTATCACCATGAAAATGTGTAAATTTAACATTTTGGACCCTTCGGACAATGTTTTTACTTAAAAAAATTGCCACATTTATCTTTATATATCTCCAGTAATAAATCATTAGTATTCATTATTTCTTTGGAACCTTCTTACACATTTAATAAAATTTTCCATTTTTCCCAGAGTGGGAAAACATGGACATTCAAGTCAAATAAACGGTTGTTCAAAGTTGGGTTTTGCAATTTACCTGATATATCTGGACAAAATATATGAACTCTGAGCATTAATTGCTCACCTAAAAACAAGAGCTAATGATCTCATTAGAAGCTTAAGATGATTGAGTAAAATAATAAATTTAAAATGCCTTGAAAATTGCCTGATACAGACCAATACTTAAAAATAATACCTTTAATATGTTATTCCACTACTTAAAGAATGCCTCAAAATATTTTAAAAGAAAAATATATTAAACTAAATGAACCAATGCTTCTATACATACCTTACATCTGAAATAACTCCTTAAAAAAGATTTTCATTATGAGTAGCAAATATCATGTTCAAATACAAAAGGAGGTAATAACAAAATGGAATTTTTACTAAACAGGATCCCAAAGTATTTGAAACATAAACTAATAAACAAAAATAGGAACCTATGTCATATTTTAAAAAGCTCAAAACTACTATAGAAGTGAAAAAAGGTAAAGTAAAACAATATATTGTGTATTTTAATCATTAGTTTATCTCTTTTCTTTTGCTTGTATTTCTGTATCTAAAAGTACATATGAAAAAAATTAAAAATTAAAAAAAATTAGTCCCTAGGTGGGGCTTCTGAAAATGTAAGTTTACCCATAAAAATTTACAATGAATCACTAATCCCAATAAAGGTGACGATATTTTACATATAATATTCAAATAGGTTTTAATAAATATTTTTTGAGCCATATAGTTAAATCAGGTCATTTCATCATTTCTTCTGTCAACATATTTGCATTAATACTTAGAAATTAGAATTTATTGTTGAAAATATTTTGAAATTCAAAAAAGCATAAGCATGATATATGGTTATGGTTCTATAATGTTTTAAGTTTTAGATTGTTTCACCTGTGCCCCACCAGCATCTTCCACACAGCAGGTGGAACCCTGACTTGTTTAGCAGTCAGGATAAATTGGATCTGCTCCAGCCTATCAGAGAGCCAAGAGGCTTCTCTGGCAGAGACACATTACTGCTTAACATGAAAGCATCTTCATTATGCTAACTGATTCAGGGCAGGTTTGCAGCAGAAGTGTAAACTGTGGATTTATTAGCAAAAGGATGCTGAGGGGCAAATTTATGTAACATTTGGCTAAACCAATTCTTCTCATCATTTTCAATTTCTCTGGGCTCAATTAGTTTACTTGCTGTGAATTCGACCTTGGAATGTGTTTTTAAAATCAAAAGACAAAGTGTTCAAAATGTTCCAACTAACCAGAGCAGTTAATTTCACTTCAATAAAATAAATTGAAACTCTGAAAAAAAATAATAAGTGCAAACTTACAGTGCAATGTTTTCATCTGCATATGAGAAAGGTGATGTAATGGTTTTAAACTGTGTTCTGCCAAACTTCAAGACTAAAAAACAAAGTTAAAGTGAGGCTAAAAAATGAATTCAATTTAGAAGTTATTTTTCTGCCTATAAACTTTACTATTGTCTGTATTCTCTAGAACAAAGATATGGTTTCTGCAAAACATGTAATGAAAGGCAAATAAATTCTTCTGCAAAAATTTTAATAGACACTATTGTATTTTAAATTAAACTATATGAAATAGTCATTTTATAGTGAAGTAATAGTTTGTTTCACACTAATAGCTTCATAATATCAATTTACGTAATCTGCATCGCTTTTTCATCTTGCTGGAGCTTTTGTGCCAGTGGTTCCCAAATTTTGCTGCACTTTGAAATCACCTGGAAAGCTTTAAAGCTTTAACTCTTACTGATAGCTCGTGCTTATCCCCTTGGTATAACCTGGGCATTCAGATTTTAAAAATGTTCCCAGATCATTTTAATATGCAGCAATATTTGGGAATCTGTTTGCTGCAACATTTTGAAATCTGTTGTATATTAAAAATCACCTAGGAAGCTGGTTTAATCAATACTAACAAACTCCATCCTATGAGATTCTGATTCAGAAAGTCTAGCATGGTTTTCTTGTATTGGACTTTAGAAAAAGCAGAATATCGAAATACCAATTTTGTGGAAATATCTGGAAAAGTGGTTTTCCTAATGAACATACTCTAGCAGTCATCCAATTAATTAAACCCATTAATCAATAGAATTAATTTAGAACTTCCTGTGGTGATATGTGGGCCCCAAATTTTAAAATTGCCACAGATAGCTGCCAGGTTTCAAAACCACTGGTTTGCACTTTCAATTAGCAATAATTAGAAAAGCCACAGCTGGAATCAAACTATAGTTTGAGCCCTGCCATTCACTTAAAAATGGTGTAACTTGGGACAAATCACTGAGTCTTATTTAACTGTTATCTGGATTAAATAGGTCAGAAACCTCATTGTTGTAACTGTTATAATGATTAAATAGAGGTAAAAAAGTTATACATGATACAAAAGTGTTTATTATTTAAAAACAAAGCAACAACAACAACAGAAAAATTAGTGAAGCCATTTTCTTCCTCTAGACAAATTCCCAGATGGTTCTTTCTGTTATGTACCCAGATTGTACTCTAGGATCAGACTTAATCACTACTCGCTAATAATAGAAATTCTTCTTCTACTACAAACTTTTCTCTATTCCCCTGCCTTAAAGATATCAGTCTCTTACATTACTGGACATTCTTTCTCAATCACTTTGGCTGGTTCCTCCTCATTATGAATTGCTCCAGGGCTTGGTCTTGGGAACACTCTTGTTTATCTAAAATTACTCTCAAAGCAATCTTATCCTTTATACAGCTGTAACTATCATTGGTGTGCCAGCCCTTCTGAGTGCTATTTCTACCACAAGGGATATAATTGGTACTCAAGCAGTATCCCACCTGCAGATGGCCACCACTTTCTTCATCTCTTTTTAAAATCATCCAGCATACACCCAGAGTCTGTAAAATGTCCCTCTAACTTGTCTTATTGATAATCTCTCAAAGTATCTCTGGTGTGTGCCCTCCCTTTCTGTAGCAAACCGAATATAATTTACTTTGATTTCAGGTGTGTTCCCGAAAATCCTTTTCTAAGGGACTTTGGCAGCAGTTGTCAACATTTAACAGACTTTTGCTTGTTTATTTGTTCTCGCCTACCCACAACTAAAATGTAAGCTCCATGAAAGCAGGATCCTTATTCTTTTCACTGCCATATTCGCAGCGACTAGTCCAAAGTAGAAACTCAAATATTTTTAGAGTGAAAAATAATGATAGCTACCATAATAGTTATTGTTATTGACATTTTTGTCACATTTATTAGCACTATGAAAACAAAACTGACATATCACCCTTTCTCTAAATGTACATCATAATTCACAGTCAAACTCACATTTGAACATTTTAAGCTGGGTATCTAGTGAGAATTGCTGAATATTTGCTCCTTTAAAAAATGTATTTTTCTTTTCAATATTTACTTTCTATTTTTTGAGATTATATATTCAAAACATGGACCTCTTCGAAAAAATTATTTAAAATAAACTTTTTTTTCCTAAAATTCATTTGTCTTGGAATCTTTCTTTAGTTCTAGGAATACCATAAAATAAGAATCACTGAAATATTTTTAAAACTTATTTCACAAATGAACAATCTGATTTAATAATTCTATTATTTCTCTATTTTAAACAATCTTTTAAAATATAGAAAATACAAAGTAACCTGAAATTGCAGAGAATTGTACTGGAAACATATCTCTTGTTATTGCATAGCAGATAACTATAACTATATATATATAACTATATATGAAATATATATGAGACATATATAATAGTTATGATTGAAAAATTTTTAAATGTAATTGGTCAGATGAAAGTTCTATTCTCATAGCAGCTGCCATATATAATCCAAAATGAGTTTCTACAGGTGGACGTTGATGGTTTCACTAAATAAAAACAGGTAAAAGATTTTAATACTGAGGGGAATAAGAGCTCTGCAATTCCCAGGATTGGCAGCTAATGATAATTGGATCAGTTACACAGTAGGGGGTTAAAATAACATCTATATAAGTGGCAAAAACTGTTTGGCAAACAAAGTTTTTAAATCTATTCAGGATTTTTTTCTCAGCTTAAGAAATTTCCATATTTAAATGTGACCTAGAGATTATATCTATTCTATGAAATATAACTGATTATTAAAAAATTAACTTTTTAATACATAGATTCATGGATGAATGTGGTAATATATTTTGATAATATATTACTGAGGTTTTTATTTTCATAATTATGTGTTTCATGTTGATATAGGAGTTAAGAAATTAAGGCAGCTGCTAAGGGCATGGGAGTCCTCAGTAAGGTTTTTCTTTATAATGAAAAGCAGCCCCAAATTATTTTCCTTTTTAACGAAGAGCAGCCTGTAAAATCGATCTGCAGACATAGATACCGGCAGTTGTGCCAATCATGTTCAAGATGGCAGCTCCATCTTCCCTTCTCTTTGTCAGCCAGACTCCACCACAAAAAAAAAAAAAAAAAAAAAAAGGAGAAGAAGGAGCAGACAAGATGGTGCCAATAAACTGGAATGCCATTTGCATAATAAGATTAGGGTGGGGTGACCAGCCTTCCCCGTGCACCATGTAGATACCACAGCTGATCCAATAAATCAATGAGCCCTATGTAAATCAGACACCACCTCCTCAAATTGGACTATAAAACTTGGCGCATTTATGTCAGCTGGTCCTTTTTTTCTGCTTGGAGGCCCTCTTTTGGGCTTTCTCAACATGAGGAAGCTTTTTCTCTCTCTTTTCTTCTTTTTCTATTAAACTTTCCACTCCAAAACCCACCCCTCATGTGTTCTGTGTCCTGAATTCCTTCTTGACTGAGACCAAAAGCCAGAGTAAAGACTGCAGACAACAGAGTTGTTTCATATTGGGTTCTCTCCTGGGTCCAGATCAAAACCGAAGATAGAAACATCGGAGTGGTAAGTAAGGAGCAAACCTCCTTTAATCACAAGGCTCTTTTCCAGCTATCCTCTCACTAAATTTTCCTTCTTTCCTGTCTATGATCACTATGTCTATTCTCTCCGTGTATGCGATGTACGGAAATTTTTACAGTTCAAGCTAACAGGTCTGTTAGGAAAGATCAGCAAACGCGGCAGGAAATAATTCAAAAAGCTTTTGCTCTCTCTACCGTTTATCTGGCGAGCGTATGGTATTTCTAAGCCACCACCACCACCTAGTAGAAATAGAAGTCCTCTTCATGAGGCACATTACTGGTCCTTTGTTGTACAGTGCAGCTTTCTTTCGTGCCACTAGAAATCAGGCGCTAAGCCCCTTCTGTGAACCGGAAAGCTCTGCCTTCAGCAGTTAGGAGTAAAATGTCCTCCATAGCCAAATTTTAGTTCTGATACTGTCCCATCAGCAGGAAAATGACCATTTGGTCTCTACCTTCTTGTAAGACACCAAGTATGTCTCCAGTTGGAACAGTACTTAAGTAGTAACGGGATTTTAAGTTCAGAAGTTAACTGGAACCATTTTTCTAAGAGTAAATGTTTTAGCATGAGCTGTAACAGCAGGCAATCTACCACATTGCCTCTTTTAAAGAAGCCTTGGCCAAAGGCAACCATTAGAGTTTCTCCAGAGATCCATTTTTTCGGGAGCCAGGCAGGTCACACATGTCTAGGAAGCCAAAGGGAAATAGGCAGATAGCTAGGGCTACTTGGGTAAGCGTGACTTGGCCCAGAAGTCTTGTTTCCCTGGTGCCGTGGCTTGACGAGTCACACCTTCAGCCATGGTCAGCACATTTAACAGGATGCTGGCACCCAGGAACCAGGGAGGAAAAATAGTCAGAGGTATCCCCCTCACTGTTCTCTTCTCCACCCTGGGTCACATATAGAAGAGAATGACCATTTGGTCCCTACCTTCTTGTAAGACTCCAAGTCTGTCTCCAATTAGAACAGTACTTAAAATAGTAAGGGAATTTAAGTTCAGAAGTTAACTGGAGCATATAGAAAAGGGGACTAAAGGGATGCCTTCCCTCATTTATCTGTCTAGATGGGTAACAGATTATCTTCGGCTTGCACCCCTCTGGAGTTCACTCTAAAACACTGGAACTTTCTTAACCTCAGGACTTTGAACAGAACAGTGATTTTTTTTTTTTTTTTTTTTTTTTGCACAAGGGTATGGCATTTCTACTAAATTTTTGCAAGTGTTGTAAGATAAACCCAGCTTATTTTAGCAAACACATTGGGCATGCCCAAAGAGAGTGGTTCCAAAATTAGAGAAGCAACTTCCAGGGAACCATCCGAGGATCCCCCTTATCTGGGGCCCCTTCAGGTTCCCTTCTCATTACAGGACCTTAGGTAAATAAAAGGAGACTTAGGCCAATTTTCTGACAACCCTGACAGGTATATAGAAGCTTTCCACAATTTAATTCAGGTCTATGGTGTCTTTCCTTCTTTCACAGTTTTAAATGGCTTTTGTTATTATGTTCTTCCAAACTAGGAAAAGTTAATTTTCCAAACTTTAACATGCTTGGCTTAGAGTTGAGCTGGGGGAAGGGAACCCAGAAGCCTGATATGCTGGCAAGAGGGTAAAAATTTCTTACCAGTCAGGCTTTTGGCTTCTCTGTTCCTATGGAAACCAGTAAAAGAGATAACAAAGATCATTGTTTATATTATCTATAAAGTTGTAATCAATGGAAAAGGATTTGTGAGGTTGGTCTTAAGCTGTAGACAATCTGGTTTGCTTTGCATGTCTTCCTGTACAGTTCTGTCAAAGAAAGGGTATCTTAGGTTAGGATGCAGGCCCAGGACCCCATTAGCCTGCTGTTCAAAGCAGCCCAACAAAATGGCCAGTAACAAACTCAGCTACAGGCCTCCATCTTGTTTCACGTCCTTGGGAACATGACCTGTAACCACATGGAAATACTTTTAGTCTCTGTCATCTTACAATGGTGGTGGTTTTCTTGTGCTAAGTCAGTTCCTGGGTGAGAGCCACAAAATCAGATAAGCCAGTTTGTCCATCTGGGTGGTGACAGCCGATCCGTCAAGGGCACAGTTTACAAAATATCTTAAGCACTGATCATGAGAGCAGTTTAGGGAGGGTCAAAATCTTGTAGGCTCCAGCTGCATGACTCCTAAGCCATGGTTTCTAATATTATGGGTAGTTTCTTGCTCTGGTCCCCAGGTAAGAGGGAAGTATATTTCAAGAAGGGGCTGGTATCATCTTTGTTTTAGACTATCAACTGAAAACCAGACTCCTCCCAAAGTTGGTTCAGCCTATGCCCAGGGATGGGCAAGGACAGCTTGGTGGCTAGAAACAAAATGGAATTGTTTGGGTTGGATCTAATGGTTTTCTAATATTATGGGTAGTTTCTTGCTCTGGTCCCCAGGTAAGAGGGAAGTATATTTTAAGAAGGGGCTGGTATCATCTTTGTTTTAGACTATCAACTGAAAACCAGACTCCTCCCAAAGTTGGTTCAGCCTATGCCCAGGGATGGGCAAGGACAGCTTGGTGGCTAGAAACAAAATGGAGTTGTTTGGTTTGGATCACTTTCATTGTCTCAGTCACAATTTTGCAATGATAGTTTCAAAAGCTGCCTATCATCCTTTTGAAAATACCTTGTACACTCACCGTTAGGTCATAACCTAATTAAGGGTTGTTGGTTTCACCTGTGAGGTTACTTTTTGTAAAGTTTAAAAGCCAAAAATCTTTACTACTTCACGTGGCTAAAGTTGAGTAACAAGGGATTAAAAAGGATTTTCCTAAAGAGTGCTCAGCTTAATTGAAAGTGGATATTCAATTTATAAGTATATTTTAAAGACCTTTAGGTTTTTCTCTTCTTGTATCTCCACTTTTTTGTTTTGCCACTCTTAACACATGCATAAGAGGTCCTAAGATAACTTCTGGTAGCATGGGACTCCATGGGAAAACAGAGGAGGTGCCACAGACCCTGTTTTGGGTGGGGGGAACCCTCTGTTTTCCTCATGAAACGCCCACAATTAAAAGCAGATAGTTTCCTCTCAAAATCAAAGGCTCTGCTCTGCTATGCATTGTGTTATCTGACCCTTTTGAGTTTTGGGGGTACCAAATTACTTCACATTGTGATAGAGCTTTGGTGTGTAATAGCTGTGTAGAAAATGCACTTTAAGGGATGCCTAATAGTAATCAGAGAAGCATGCTCTTGGACACATGAATGATATGAAAACATCCCCACTCCCCACTAAAAGATGAGACTCCCATGGGGGGTGAGCTAATTACAAAATAAGCTGATTGGCTTTGGGTTGCCTTGCGATGAAATGCATGGTAGAAGCACTACAGTCTTCTCCCATAGTATCTTCCTCCTTTTGGAGACCCAAGATCCAGTATAAAATGGCACCATTAATTTTAGGAATCTGTCTTTGCCTTTGGCTGTACCTGCTTGTTAGGCTCTAAAAATGCATGCCTTCCTGGCCCTGTTTCTCCAAGGGCTCCACCCTGAAGCCAGTAATCCAATTAAGAAACTGACAAATAAAAAGTCTTACAAGTGCTAAATCTTCTGTCTGTGTTGCTGTATAGGTGTTGTGTGTAATGTCTATAAAAAGAGCTCTAATTGATTGGCTTAAAGAAAAATAAGCATTTACATCAAATATTTCTTAGTTCATGTGACTTTAATCTTTAAGAAATAAAAATAGTCTTAAGGATTTTTGGTAAAATGCAAATGTCATCAAAATGCAAATAGGTGGTCTAAATAATAAAACTCAGATACTAGGTTTGCTAAATGTTCCAAGGTTGTATTCTACCTGCTTTAAAGATGGGTAAGTCCTGGGACACAAGAAACTAGACACTGAAGAGTCAGACCTTATCTGCACTTCTGTCTGGGTCCTAGGCTCCATACCTGATGCATAATTAAAATCGCTTACTAACCAGGTTTTTCACCAAAAATGAAAGCTGCTTAAAGTTAAAAGTGCAACATGTATTTGAGATCAATAAACAATTTTACATTCAAGGCATATAAAAACAATAAAATGTGTTTTTTATTAAAAGATTATAACAAAGCATAGAAATGTAAATTTTGCCCTTGGATGATGGATTATGTTAAATTTGATAAGATAGAGCTAGAGGCTTAAGCAAGTTATAGAAAGATTGTAAAAATTAATCTTGCAAAAATGTGTAAACATTAATTAAACTCAGAAGGGTATTTATGATCTTTTCATAAATTGAGCATTCAAATAAAGCACAGCAAGAAGGTCTTAAGATACTGATTTGCCCTTTAGTAAAAGGGTTATGAAGGATTTGTAAAGATTTCACCTCATGGTCAAATTGGTTAAAATTAGATGGAATCGTCTATAAGGTTTCATTTAAACAAATTGGAGTTAACATTAATAGACTAGTGTAAGGGTAAAATTTGGCTCTAAACAAGATTTTCATGTAATAGTAAAGGCTAATGGAAGGTTTTTGTTTTTGAGTCATCATTTTGGCAAACTAAATAATTTATAGCAATTTGCCTTTCTTCTGGGGACCCTTAGATCAACCCTAGGAGGAGCCCTAGTTGCTGCTCCCCACATGACACCCCTTTTCAGCAGGAAGTAGCCAGAAAGAGTCATCATCCAACACCCCTAACAGCAGTTAGGTTTACCACTCCAGAGTTGGGGATGATATAGGAGTTAAGAAGAAATTACTTAGGCAGATAGTAAAGGTATAGGAGTCCTTGGTAAGAATTCTTTTTAATGAAAAGCAGCCCCAAAGTATTTTCCTTTCTAATGAAGAGCCACCTGTAAAATCAAGCTGCAGACGCAGATACCAGCAGTTGTGTCAATCATGTTCAAGATGGCAGCTCTGTTTTCTTCTCTTGGTCAGTCACGGGTACAATAAGAAGCAGACAAGATGGTGCAGATAAACTGGAATGCCCATTTGCATAATAAGATTAGAGTGGGGTGACCAGCCTTCCCTGTGCTCTATGTGGGCATCATAACTGATCAAACCAATCTATGAGCCCTATGAAAATCAGATACCGCCTCCTCAAACTGGACTATAAAGCACCAGCCAGTCCTTTTTTCTGCTTGGAGGCCGTCTTTTGGGCTTTCTCAACATGAGGAAGCTTTTTTTCTCTCTCTTTTCTTCTTTTTCTATTAAACTTTCTACTCCAAAACCCATTCCTCATGTGTGTCTGTGTCCTGATTTTTTTCTCAACAGATACCTAGAGCCAGGGTATATACCCTAGACAATGGAGCTATTTCACTGTAGTTCATCATAAAACAATTCAGTAAGAAAAAATATTTTTCTTATGCTTTGGTCAATATTGAAATATGATTAGTAAAACAGAGGTGTAAAACCTGCCCTGTTTTCTTCATACCATGCTTTTAAGAATCAAGGAAATACTTTTTGAAAATTATTTTTCAATTTTTAATTTTTATGAGTACATAGTAGGTTTATATATTTATGAGGGACATGCGATATTTTGCTACTATACATTTACAGAACACATAATAATCACATCAGGGTAAAAATGGTATCCATCACCTCAAGCATTTGTCCTTTATATTACAATCTAATTATACTCTTCTCGTTATTTTTAAAGGTACAATTAAATAATTGTTAACTGTAGCCACACTGTTGTGCTAACAAACACTAGGTCTCGTTCACTCTATTTTTTGTACCCATTAACAATCTTCATTTTTCCTCCACTCCTCCACTCCTCTTCCCAGGCTCTTTAACTATCCTTCTACTCCACATCTTCATGACTTCAACTGCTCTAATTTTTAGCTCTGACAAATAAGTGAAAACGTGAAGTTTCTGTGCCTGGCTTATTTTATTCAATGTGACGACTTCCAGTTCCATCCATGTTGTTGTGAGTGATAGAATCTCCTTTTTAATGGCTGAATAGTACTTTACTATGTATATGTACCACATATTCTTTATTCATTCATGCGTTGATGGACATTTGGGTTGCTTCCAAATTTTGGCTATTGTGAATAGTGTTGCAATAAACATAAGAGTGCAGATATCTCTTTGATACACTGATTCCCTTTCTTTTGGATATATACCAAGGAGTGATATTGATGGATCCTGTAATAGCTCTATTTTTAGTTGTTTTTTTTTTTTTTTTTTTTTTTTTTCTTAGAGAGGGAGTCTTGTTCTGTCACTCAGGCTGGAGTTCAGTAGCATGATCTCAGCTCACTGTAACCTCAACCTCCTGGGTTCAAGCAATTCTCCTGCCTCGGTCTTCTGAGTAGCTGGGACCACAGGTGTGTTCCAGCATGCGTTTGTATTTTTTAGTAGAGATGGGGTTTCTCCGTGTTGGCCAGGCTGGTCTTGAACTCCTGACCTCAGGTTATCTGCCCATCTCAGCCTCTCAAATTGCTGGGATTACATGAATGAGCCACCACATCCAGCCTCTGTTTATAGTTTTTTAAGGAACTTCCAAACTATTCTCCAGAGTGGTTGTACTAATTTACATTTCCACCAATGGCGTAGGAGGGTTCCCTTTTCTCCATATCCTTGCAAAAACTTTGTATTACCTGTCTTTTGCCTAGAGGTCATTTTAACTGGGATGAGATGATATTTCACCATAGTTCAGATTAGCATTTCTCTGATGATCAATGATGTTCAGCACATTTTCATATACCTGTTTGTCATTTGGATGTCTGTTGCCCTTTGAGAAATGTCTTTTCAGCATTTTTTCTCATTTTTTTAATTGGATTATTAGATTTTTTCATGTTGAGTTGTTTGAGCACCTTATATGCTCTGGTTATTAGTCTCTAGTCAGATGGGTAGTTTGAAAATATTTTCTTCCTTCCGTGGGTGGTCTCTTTATTTTGTTGTTTCTTTTGCTGCGTAGAAGCTTTTTAACTTGTTGTGATCCCACTTGTCCATTTTGCTTTGGTTGCCTGTGCTTGCTAGGTGTTACTCAAGAAATCTTTGTCCGGTGGAATGTCATGGAGATTTTTCCCAATGTTTTCTTTTCACTATTTCATAGTTTAAGATCTTAAATTTAAGTTATTAGATGGGTGCAAAAGTAATTGCGGTTTTTGCCATTGAAAATGATGGTAAAACCTGCCACTACTTTTGCACCAGCCTAATACTTTATTTTCAATTGATTTTTATATATAGAAAGAGAGAGGGGGCTAGTTTCATTCTTCTGCGTATGGATATCCAGTTTTCCCAGCACCATTTATTGAAAAGACTCGTTTCCCAATGTATGTTCTTAGCACCTCTGTTGAATAATGAGTTCACTGTAGACGTGTAGATTTGTTTCTGGGTTGTTTACTCTGTACCATTGGCCTATGTGCCTTTTGTTCATGCCAATACTATGCTGCTTTAGTTACTATAACTCTGTAGTATAATTTGAAGTCAGGTAATATGATTTCTCCAATTTTGTTCTTTTGGCTTAGGATACCCTAGGCTATTAAGAGTTTCTTATGGTTCCGTATAAATATTAGGACTGTTTTCTCTATTTATGTGAAGAATGTCACTGGTATTTTGACAGGGATTGCACTGAATCTGTAGATTGCTTTGTGTATTATGGACATTTTAACAATATTGATTCTTCCCATCCGTGATTACAGAATATTTTTCCATTCTTCTATGCCCTCTTCAAATTATTTCATCAGTGTATTATAGTTTTCATTGTAGAATTCTTTCACTTCTTTGGTTCATTCCTAGGTATTTCATTTTATTTGTAGCTACTTTAAATGGAATTGCTTTCTTTATTTCTTTTTCATATTGTTCATTCTTGGCATATAAAAATGTTGTGGATTTTTGTGTGTTGACTTTGTATCCTGAACATTCCTGAATTTGTTTATCAAATCTAATAGTTTTTTGGTAGGTTCTTCAGGTTTTTCCAAATATAGGATTATATCATCTGCAAACAACAATAATTTGTTGTCTTCCTTTCCAATTTGGATGCACATTATTTCTTTCTCTAGTTAGGACTTCCAGCACTATGTTGAATAACAGTGATGGAAGTGGGCATTTTTGTCATATTCCAAATCTTGAAGAAAAAGGCTTTCAATTTTTCCCCTTCAGTATTACACTAGCTGTCGGGCTGTCATATGTGGCCTTTATTATATTGAGGTATATTCCTTCTATACCCATTTTTTGAGGATTTTTTTTCTTAAAGGGATATTGTATTCTATTAAATGCATTCTCAGAATAATTACAATAATTATATGGTTCTTATTCTTCATTCTGCTCATACAACGTATCACACTGATTAATTTGTGTATGTTGAACCATCCTTGCATCTCAGGGATAAATCCCACTTGGTCATGATATGATGAATGATCTTTTTAAAAGTGTTGTTGAACTTCATTTGCTAAGTTTTTTGTTTTTTTTTTTTGAGGACTTTTGCACCAATGTTCATCAGGGATATTGGCATGTAGGTTTTTGGATTTTTTATTTATTTTTTTTTGTTTTGATGTCTCTGTCTGGCTTTGGTATCTGAGTAATACTGACCTCATAGAATGACATTGGAAGGAATTCCTCCTCTATTTTTCAGAATAGTTTGCATAGTATTTGTTTTAGTTCTTCTTTAAATATTCAGTAGAATTCAGCAGTGAAGCCATTAGGTCACAGACTTTTTTTTTTTTTTTTTTTTTTTTTTGCTAGGATTCTTTCTATTATACTTTAGATCTTGGTATTTGTTATGGGTATGTTCAGGTTTTGAATTTCCTCCTTCTTCAATTTTGGTAGGTTGTATGTGTCTAGGAATTTATCTCATTTTTCTAAATAATCCAATCAATTGGCATATACTCATTCATAATAGCCACTAATGATCCTTTGATTTTCTACAGTATTGGTTGTAATGTCTCCTTTTTCATTTCTGATTGTATTTGCTTTTTCTCTGTTTTCTAGTTTGGCTAAAGGATTGTCAATTTTGTTTCTTTTCAAAAATATGTTCACTTCATTGGTCTTTTACATTGTTTTATTCATTTCAATTTTATTTATTTCTGTTCTGATATATATTATTTCTTTTCCTTTACTAAATTTGTGTTGTTTGCTCATGCATTTCTATTTCTTTAAGAGGCATCATTAAATTATTTGTCAAGTTTTTCTCCTTTTTCGATGCAGGTGCTTATAGCTGTAAACTTCTCTCTTGGTACTGCTTTCAATGTATCCTATCGGTTTTGTTATGTTGTGTTTTCATTATCATTTGTTTCAAAAAATTTTCAATTTTGTTCTTAATTCATTAAGTGATGCATTGGTCATACAAGAACATATTGTTTAATATTCATGGGTTCTTGCAGTTTTCATAATGTCTCTTCTCATTGATTTTTAGTTTTATTTTACTGAGGTCAGAGAAAATGCTTGATATTATTTTATTTTTTTTTGAATTTAAGACTTGTTCTGTGATCTAACGTATAATCTACCCTTGAGAATGATTCATGTCCAGAGGAGAAAAATGTGTATTCTGAAGCCATTGAATGAAATATTCTGTAATATCTCTTAGATCCATTTCTTCTATAGTGCAGATTAAGTCCAACCATTCTTTGCTGGTTTTCTCTCTGGGAGATCAGTGCAATGCTGAATGTGGGGTGTTGATATCTCCAACTATTACTGTATTGAGGTCTCTCTCTTAAGCTCTAATAATATTTGCTTTATATATCTTGTGCTCTTGTGTTGGGTACATATATATTAGCAATCATTATATCCTTTTGCTGAATTGACCTTGTCATCATTATATAACAATCTTCTTTTTCTCTTACAGTTTTTGTCTTGAAATCTATTTTGTCTGATGTAATCATAGCCATTTCTTCTTTTTTGATTTCCATTGGCACAGAATTACTAACTTTTCCATCTCTTTAGTCTATATATGTCTTTATAGGTGAGGTGTGTTTCTTTTAGGCAACAGATCATTGGGCTTGATTTTTTTAAATCCATTCAGCCATTCTATGTCTTTTGATTGGAGAGTTAATTCCATTTTCATTCAATGTTATGATTTATAATAAGTACATATGCCTGCCATTTTGTTGTTTTCGGGTTGTTTTGTGGTCTTCTCTTTTTTCCTTTTTTCCTCTCTTTTAGTGAAGGTGATTTTCTCTGGTGGTATGGTTTAATTTCTTGCTTTGTGTGTGTGTGTGTATTTGTTGTATGTATTTGATTTAAGGTTGCCATGAAACTTGGAAATAACATCTTATTAATCATTATTTTAAACTGATGACAACTTAACACTATATGCATAAACAAGCAGACAAGCAAAAAAGAAACTAATAAAAACCCTAATATCTGAAGTTTATTCCCTGGCTTTTAAACTTTTTGTTGTTTCCACTTATATCTTATTGTACTGTAAATGTCTTGAAATGTTGTAATTATTATTTTTTTATTCATCTTTTAGTCTTTTGACTGAAGATGAGAGTAGTTTAAACATCACAATTAGTGTTGTAATATTCTGTGTTTTTCTGTGTGCTTACTATTTATTACCAGTGACATTTGTAACTTCCTATGATCTCTTATTACTCACTAATGTATTTTTATTTCTGATTGAAGACTCCTTTTAGCATGTTTTGTAGAGAAGGTATGGTGTTGATGAAATTCCTCAGCTTTAGTTTGTCTGGGAAACTCTATATCTCATTCATGTCTGAAGTTTTTCACTGGATATGCTATTGTAGGGTGAATGTGGGTTTGTTTGTTTTTTTCCCCCTTCAGCACGTTAAATATTTCATGTCACTCTCTCCTGACCTGTAAGATTTCCATTGAAAAGTCTACTGGCAGACTTCTAGACCTCCTTTGTATGTTATTTGTTTATATTGTCTTGCTGCTTTTAGGAACTTTTTATTTATCTTTGACCTTTTAGAATTTGAATGCCTTGAGGTAATCTTCTTCAGGTTAAACCTGCTTGGTATTCTATAACCTTCTTGTACTTGCATATTGATATTTTTCACTAGGTTTGGGAAGATCTCTGTTATTATCTGTTTGAATAAACTTTCTACTCCTATTTTTTTCTCTAGCTCCTCTTTAAGGCCAATTACTCTTAGGTTTACCCTGTTGATGTTGTTTTCTAGTTCTTGTAGGCATGCTTCATTATTTTTTATTCTCTTTTCTTTTGTCTCCTCTGACTATGTATTTTCAAATAGCCTGTCTTCCGACTTACTAATTCTTTCTTCTGCTTGATCAATTCTGCTATTTAGAGATTCTGATGCTATTTGAATTCTCTGTCTGAAAGATCACATGTCTGTGTGTTACGAGGATTGATCCCTGGTGCCCTATTCAGTTCATTTGGTGAGGTCATGTTTTCCTGGATGGTCCTGATGCTTCTGAATATTCGCTGGTATTTAGATATTGATGAGTCAGATATTTATTTTAATCTTCACTATCTGGGCTTATTTGTATCTGTCCTTCTTGGGGAGCTATCCAGGTATTCCCAGTGGCTTTGGTGTTGCTATTTAAGCTGTATGTGCACTGGGGGCACCCCAAGTCCAGTAACTCTGGCTCTGTCAGACCTATGGAGCTAGCACCTTGGTGGTCTTGAATAAGTTCTGGAAGAATTCTCTGGATTCTAATAGAGACTCTAGTTCTCTCTCCTTATGTTCTCCCATATAAATTGAGTCTTTCTCTTTGTGTTGAGCTGCTTGGAGCATTGGTTGGTTGTCACAAGCACCCCTGTGATCGCCACTGATGGTGCACTTGGTCAGAATTGAAGCCAGCACAGTGCTGGGTCTCACTCGAGGACTATTACCTGGCTACCACCTATGTTTGCTCAAGACCCTAGCACTCTGCAGTCAGTAGACAGTGAATCCAGTCTCGATTGTTTCCCTCCTTGCAGGGTGGCAAATTCCCCAGGCCCCAGGTGAGTCCAGAAATGCCATCCAGGAGCCAGGGACTAGAGTTGGAAACCTTAGAAATCTACATAGTGCTCCATTCTATTGTAGCTAAGCTATTCGCGAAACACATGACAAATATTTTGCAACTTGTCCATCTCCTTTCCATAGGCACAGCAGCCTCTCCCTGTGGCCGTGACCACCACAGCTCTATGGGAAGTACTGCCGGACTATCACCAATGTTCCCTGAAGGCCCAAATGCTTTTCACTCAGCTTGTGATGAATGTTTCCAGGCCTGGGACTTAGCTCTAAGACTGGTCTAGGAGTTGCAGTTCTTCTGGCCTAGAATGTCTTTCCGGTTTATTTAGGACCCTGGAGCACTTTAGGTCATGGTGGCGAGGCTTTCAGAAACTCATGTTCCAACTACTGGGAAGGGTGATTTCCCTTTTTCTGGAACTGGTCTAAATACACCCTCCATAAGTGAGCATCAGCTGAGTTCAGCCCAGTTTTGCTTTCCACTGTGTCAGGGCAGCACTGAGATCAATGTGGAGTTTCATAGTCACTGCACTTTCCCTCCCCTAAGCACGCAGATTCTCTCTCCACACGACAGGTGTACTGCCAGTGGATTGGGGAGGGGTGGTATCACTGATTCAAGACTGTCTTTCCTTATCTCTTCAGTGTTTCTTTCAGTGATATAACATTAAAACCAGGAACTGTGATTGCTCACGTGATTTTTGGTTCTTATGAAGGTGATTTTTGTGTAGATAGTTGTCAAATTTGGTATTCCTGTGGGGAGGATGATTGTTAGAGGCTTCCGTTCAGCCATCTTGTTCTACCTGCTTGATTGTGAATAGGTTTAAAGTATACACTATTGGGTCAAATTTGTTCTTGCTTATATTTTTAATACTTACTACTTAATAATACTACTAGCTAATTTTTAAAATAAAAAGCTGACACTAGGTATACTACAGTTTCTTCCGCCCAACCTGGCAAGAGTGGCATCAGGTTGTAAAAGTTGCAATGAATTATACTTTGTGTCTTTGAGCGACCTTGTTTAAGCCTTTTTATGTGTGTCAAATTCTTTTTACCATTACTTTTCTTAAGAAAAAATATTCATAAGTTGAAAGTAAAGCAGGAGTATAACTGCATGTCCTTTCAATGTCATTGTTTAACAGGCTCACTGAAGAATTATTGAATTATCTAGGAGGATGCACCTGTATTTTACTTTCCTATTTACTATTTTATTAGGGCCCTGAAACTGTGAAATTAAATGTTAACTCACAGGTTTTTGTCAAGTCGAAAAGATAAGCTCAGAGATTTTAGGATTTCAGTTTAAAGGGTTATCAGACATTTAAAATTTTTACTAATTTTTATTAACAAGCTTTTGTGAATTCTTTGATGAAATAAATCTCTGTTCATTGAATTATCTTTTGACATAGTTTTAATAACCTACTGGTTCTGTCACTGATGAATACAATAAATAAAATTTGACACATGTGTTTTCTGTTTATATAATAGTCATGCTTTGAACTTTTAAAAAGTTATATGTTAACAGCTTTGGAAGTTCTATGAAGATGCTCGTTAGATTCACATATCACAGACAATTACACTGAATTACCTGAGAACGGCATCTGATGGCACGGCTTGTCTTGGCTCCAAAAGTAATTTTCAAGAGGCATTGGGACTTTAACTTTCTGACTCTGCAAAGTGATTATATCGGACAGACATTACTTGCTTATCTACTTCTGCATTTTCTTTATGAAATAGAAGAAATTTACTTCGGTTAAAATTATGATTAATATGGGTAGTTGCAACTACAGCAGGATTGGTATTAACAGAGAAATACAACTGTGTATGCAAAACTATGAGATTTTCTGATTTTCAAAAAAGACAGTAGTTATATTCTAAAGTTCTTGTATATTCTAGACTGTAAAAGAACATAGTGAAAGACAAAACTTCAGTGTGTATGGGAATTGAGGGAAATAAATTTTATTTGTCTTCATTTCTAATATTTTATTCTGAAAATAAGTTATCAAATGTGTTACAATTTTGGCAATGTTTGACCAGTTTTGATGAGTTTGTTTATATGAAAATCACTTTTAGAAGAAGAGTATGAATCCTTTACTTACAAATATTATATTAGTGCAAAACTAGACTCTTGCTTTTCTTTATTCAAATGAAAATTGCTCTTGAAGAATCAATCTTCTATTATCTGTGAGTATTAATATATATATATATATTTACCATTTGTGAATTGGCCCAGATAACAGATATTCTAATGTGAACTGAATACTTTCTGTTGACTTTTTTTTCATATTCCTGATTTTTTTTTTAAACACAGGTTACTGGCCTCTGAAGAGGTTGGCTTTTTATATAGTTGGATGAACTTCTTCTGCTACAGCATTTTATTCTCATTCTGATTAGATAGGCAGTCAAACATTTATTTCTCAGGTACACATGATACTAACTTAATCAAGTGACCAAATTTCCCCTGACAGCTACTAGTTATTTAGAGTTTGGTTTGTATTATTTTGAATGTCAATGTCCATCTGTTTTCTGATGAATCTATTATAATTTTTTTTCTTCTAAGTTATCAAACCATCAGAGGTCTTAGAGATACTTTCAGAATGTCTTCAAAGTCAAAACTATTTTCATAATAATATGTTATTTAAATAATATGTTATTTTTCACTTTCATTCTCTCAACAGCTGTGCAGGAAAGTTTTCCAAAAGCTATATGCAACATGTGATATTGCAATAGATAGGAAAATTCAGTTGTTTTCTATTAAGGTGTACAAACAAATTCTCAAAATTAATAAAACAGTTCTACTCATTGTACTGTACTTTTGTTTTGGGTAACAGTTTTCTTTACATAAATATTTATGTTTATGTTTATTAGGTTTATTATTTAATATTATACATATTGATAAATTTATCCCATATAAACGAAAACTCTTTGGATTTTTCAAAAATATTTAAAATTACAAAGTTATGTGAATACCAAAAAGCTTGAGAAAAACTGTAGTATACCATTCTATGTAAACTGATGTAAATCCTTTTTACACAGTGTCAAATTCTCCCTGAATCAAAGAATATTCAAATCATGTAAACAAATATTCCACTGAGTTACCTTATATGAAGTACAGTTGTTTATTTAGGTTCATTAAAAATCTGTTCTTCTTTTATGTTTCATAATTTAAAAAATCAGTTTTGCAGTCAAAGCCATATCTAGAGTATTATTTAACATGAAACCTCATTTAATCAGATATGAGCAGCCCACCACCAAAAAACAAAGATTATACTTTACATGTAGAAACAAGTAGCAAGGAGAAAAGAGCAATCATGTTCAAAAATACCATAGAAAAAAATACAATATGATTTTATCATAGAGGAAAGCCTCAGCCTGTGAAAGTGCTAGGATTACAAGTGTGAGCCATTGCACCTGCATCATTATAATTAAAAAAAAAATTTTAAAACGTTGGGAAATTGAAAGGACATTTTTGAAAATTGAATTGATGACTCAAAGAAACATAATAAAGAGACAGAGCGAAGCAAGTAGAGAGGAACGAGTTGAAAAGGAAGCTAGATAAAAAGGAACTAACAAAGCATTACTGGTATTCCTGAATAAGAGAAACCCAACTAATGGAACAGAAGGTACATTCTAAAATAACATATTGGACAGAAACAAAGTCTACAGAGTGAAACATGACATTTCTTGTTTATTTGTTCCTTGAGGCATTTGCTATTTCTACAACCATGTCTTAGAGACAGAAACTGATCAACAAGCAATAGTTGATAAGGCAAGAAAACAAGCAAAGCAGTGAGCAGTTTAAGGGATGAAGAACAAATATACAGAGTTGATGGCCTTCCACCAGTTGATGGCCTTCAGTGGCTCTCAGACTGCCATAGGTCAAATGATTAAAGAGTGAACTACATGAAAGTCCTCACTAAAGCTAAAGACTTACACAAAAGCAGCTCAATTCCTTACACTTAGTATTTGATAGAAGAAAAGTTAATCCTCTCTGGAGGAAAATAATATCATTAAGAGCCTAAAATTTTATTCGTAAGTTTTTATACATATATCCAGGATCCAATAAAAATATTAAAGTGAGTAAAAGTATGAATTAATTAAAATTAAAAGACAAAAGGCAGAGATGCATGGTCACAAGAAATACAAGCACTGTTGTTATCAGATGTGGAGTTTTAAATGACTATGCTTAATATGTCAAGAACTTACAAAAGAAGAAGAGTATCAATATAGAACTGAAAATTATAAAATAAAAGATAAAATGAAATTCTATAAATAAAACACACAATAAATATATTAGATGATTTTCATTGATTAGATACACCTAAGGAAATGAGAGATTGATCAGAAGAACTTCCCAAGTCTAAAGAACAGATATTTATTTTTAAGTTGAAAATATAGGAAAAAACTTTTAGAAAACAATGAAAAGCTTATAGGATTCCCAGAAAAGGAAGGAAGAAGAATGGGATAGAAGGAATATTAGAGGAGCTAATATCTGAGGGGAGACTTTTCACTCTGATGAAAATGCCACAGATTCCAGAACCACTACAAACTCCAAGTGAGAGAAATACAAAGAAAACTACATTTGTAGGCACAGAAGAAATACAGAAAGCAGAAAGAAGGTGGTACATACTACTTTTAAATAAAATAAAAAAATGAATACCATCATTACAAAAGAAAATTTGAAAATATAGATTTTTCTAAAATTCTGTAAAAACAATAAGAATCAATATAAAATCCTTAGCCCACAAATAATATTTTAAAAAAAGACATATAAAAATCCCAGAATAAAACATTCTGTAAAGTGGTTTTAGTCAAACAGAAAATGATAGCAATTGAGGCCGGGCACGGTGACTCATGCCTGTAATCCCAGCACTTTGGGAGGCTGAGGCGGGCAGATCACGAGGTGAGGAGATCGAGACCATCCTGGCTAACAGAGTGAGACCCCGTCTCTACTAAAAATACAAAAAATTAGCTGGGCGTGGTGGCGGGTGCCTGTATTCCCAGCTACTCGGGAGGCTGAGGCAGGAGACTGGTGTGAATCCGGGAGGTGGAGCTTGCGCGCGCGCCTCTGCTCCCCAGCCTGGGCAACAGAGCGAGACTCTGTCTCAAAAAAAAAACAAAGAAACACCCGAAAATGATAGCAAATGAAAGAGCATGGTGGTGCAGGAAGAAATAAATAACATTAAAAACTAAAATATATAAATCCAGGTTAAACACTATCCTTATGAGACTTAAGAAATATATACTGTCTTAAAATACATAGCAAAACTGTATGAAAGCAGAGAACTAATACACATAAAATATTTCAGGTTCTTGTATTTTCTGGGAAATGGCAAAAGTGAATATTGATATTAGGCTTTCATAAGTCAGTGTACATTTTCATTTCTGGACTACTCACTAAAATAATGGTAAAATAATTTATAACTAAAAAGTTAATACAGATAAAATATTTAGAATATATATTTTTTAAATAGTAATAAAATGAACACAGAACAGCTGGGACAAATATAAATCTAAGACTGACATTTAGATTTGAATAAACTTGTTGACAATAATAAAAGGGTTATAAAATTTGATTTTTTAAAATGTTGCTTACTATAGAGACGCATTTTAAATATAAGAAAGCAGAAAGGTTGGAAATAAATACATGGAAATTGTAAACCATTTAAACAGTGACAAAAGAAAACTGTTATATTCATGTCAGAACATGAAGATTTTTGAGTCAAGAGCACTACTTCAGATAGTTATCTTGGAATAATAAAATATCCAATCCACTATGTAAATAAAAATCCTAATTTTTATGTACTTAGTGACATAGAGTTTAAATATTTATTTTAAAACATGACAGACATAAAGGAAAAATTGACAAATACAACATCATATTAGAAATTTGAATAAAGCATTCTCAAAAACTGAAAAATAGAGCTAAAAATCTGCCAAAACATAGTTGGACAAAGTAAATGAAAAATTGGACTTGACACATGTAGAACACTGCAGTCAGCTGCCAAATACAGTCTATGAAAAGTACATGAAGTAGTTGTACATTCTAATAAATTAATTTAATGCTGAGATAGCTTCCCTGGGAATATTTAAAAATATTTGTTTTCTCAGAGATTAACAAAAGGAGAAAATAATTCTTCAAATTTTGTTAATCCAGATTACATTTAAAACCAATACCTGTCAAGGATATTACAAGGAAACATTAAAGGCTAATATGTCTTGTGAACATGATGAGATAATCCACTTAAAAAGGTAGCAAAATGGAGCCAATAATATGTGCATATAGGATAAAAAACACAATTATGATGTGACTATTCCAGGAATGCAAGTTTTCTAATCATGAGAAATGGATGAATATAATTACATTCAATTATAATAAACATTATTAAATGTAGATATTTATCCAATTTTAATGAATGGGAACTTCCTAAATATGACGAAAAATATGCAGAAATATTCTAAACAAGCACATTTAATGGGAAAACGCTAAAGTGTTTTCTGCTATGTTTTTTAAAAAAGTCAGGGATGTCCTTTTTCACTACTTTTATTCAGCATTGCACTGTAGATTATTGTGCAAAATACAAAATAAATTATAAGATAAATGTGAAGGAAACAAAATCAATTACTGTATTGGATTTGTAGAAAATACATATTTGTGTACTTTACACAAGTACATACATACAGACAGACATAAGGAAAGTCACAATAATGAGGAAATCATAAGAAAAACTTGCAATAAATAATTAGAAAATAAAATTTTAAGTATTGCATTTACAATAGCATCAAAGGCATTATCTAAAATATGTCTATAAAAGTTTATGCAAGAATTCTGCAGTTTATTACTGAGAAATATAAATGGTGAACAAAAGTCTAACAATAGCAAGGACAATCTCTCTATATACATATTTTATTTATTTATTTATTTATTGAGATGATGTCTTGCTCTGTCACCCAGCCTGGAGTGCGGTGGTGTGTTCTCACCTCACTGAAACCTCTGCCTCCTGGGTCCAAGCAATTCTCCTGCCTCAGCCTCCCTAGTAGCTGAGATTACAGGTGAGTGCCATCACACCTGGCAATTTTGTTTTTGTATTTTTAGTAGAGATGGGGTTTCACCATGTTGGTCAGGCTGGTCATGAACTCTTGACCTCCTTGGCATCTCAATGTGCAGGAATACAGGCGTGATCCACCAAGCCCAGCCAAGACAATCTTAAGAGCAAAGTTGGAGGATTTACTCTAATGGGTATAAAAATCAGATATTTGATATAATGAAGACAGTGGGATATTTGTGCAAAATGAAACACAAACCAATGATATGGAATAAAAATCAAGTAGTGCATACATATATAGATAGTTATAACAAAATATAGAACTTCACAAAATTATCAAAATACTGGCCTTTTCAGTAACTAATTTTAGGAGAATTATATTTCTCCTATGAGGGAAAGAACGTTGGCTCACACCTAACATGATACATGTTATTTTCAGAGAGGTATAGATTCTAAATGTGGAAGGTAAAATGAAATCTTCTAGGATATATAATACCTTCATTATAATAAAGGAGATAAAAGTGTCTAAAACAGGATATGAATTGTTTAAACAATTAAGGAAATAATTGTTAAATTGAATTTTAAGATTAAGCCTTTTCTCATCAAATTTTATCATTAAGAGAGTTAAAACACAAGCCAGACAGTAGGAGAAGATATTTGCAGTACATTTTTCTAAAGAACAACTTATATCCAGAAAATATAAAAATAAATTCCTAGAAGTCATTACAAAAAAAAACAATTTTAAAAATGGGAAAAATACTACTAAAGGAGCAGTTCACAGAAGATATGCAATAAATATATAAAAGATTTCTAAATTTTATTAGACATCAGGTAAATACAAATGAAAAACAGAATTAAACATCGTTGTACTCTTACAAGAATTGCTAAAATAAAAAGACTTTAAATTTTGAATTCAGATACAATGTAAGTAAGAGTAAATTGGTTTGACCATTTTGAAAACTATTTAGTCATATCAACTAAAGCTGGATATTACATATACTCTATGACCAAACATTTCTCTTGCTCAATGGAAATGTTTACACATGTTTGCTAAAAGACATATACAAAAATATTTCTGGCTGCACAATTCATAATAGCTCAAACTGGTAACAACACAAAGTCAAAGACAGTTGCATGGCTAACTAAATTATATTATGTTCGTGCAATGGAACACTGTAGAGCAAAGAAAAAGAATAAATTTGTTGTATGAACAGTATGGGAAGATCTCACAAACATAATATTGAGAACAAAATAGACACAAAAAAGTACCTGACATAAGATTCCAGTTTTAAAATATTCAAAAATAAGCAAAACTATAGTGTTTTAAATCGATTGTGTTTATCTTCAGAAAGAAAGTTACGGTTATTGATTGTAGGGTGTAGGAGGGGCTTCTGGATTGTTAAAGATCTTTTTCTTCATCTGGATAATGATTATATAGAAGTGCTCAAATTGTGCAAATTCATTCAGCCATAAAGTTATAATTTTCAAATTTTCACATTGCCCTAGGTTTGATATATTTTAACAAATTTTGTTATGTAAGTAGATAATATGTTACTAAAACATGAATCCAATAGCCAAATATCCTTGAATATGTACAAATTTAGGATAGATAATACCTACCAGTGCTTCTTGAAGAAAATTGGTTAACAATAATTATCCAGTCAGTTATGGAGAGGACAAAGGCAAAGAGGTCTCAGGAATGAGATATGTGGAAAAAAAAAACACTGTGAGATTTGGGTTCACTTAAATATGAGAACAGTGATAAAGATTAGAATTAAAGTTAGAAAATATAATTGAATATAATAGATGCTTATAATATACAAATTACACTGTAGTTTTCAAAGATCAGAAGCTGATAAAGAGCATATATAGAAAGAAGTGTGAAATTACTAATATCCTCGCCTTTCAAAGAAAAAAGGCAATAGTTGAAAAGTCATTGTTTATAATGAACCATGGGATTACAAAACACCATTATCATTCAAATCTTCTACTACTTTTCATTAACACTTTCTTTAACTATAGAGAGATTTGTAAAGATACAGGATGAGTGAATTCTAAAAGGAAATTTGGGGTAGTGCAATTTGATGTGCAAAAGAATTCTTGGGGCATAGGTATGAGGAACCAAAGAATAGATTCTTCAGGTGCTTTCATTGATATTTATCTGCTTAAATTACATTGGTGATTATGGATATTTTACTTTTTCAAACACCAAATTGATAAATGGCTCTGCATTTGGTATATGTTTGAAAATAAAACTAATTAGCCTCTTTCTTAACAATGAAAGCAGATATAGATAAGTTATGCTACTTGTTCAAGATCAGAATAGAACACAGATTGAATTAATGTTATAAATTTTATCTCTACAAGTCACCTGAAGCGTTTTTAATTAGGGTATTTATTTGTTTGTTTATTTATTTATTTATTTTTAGATGTAGTCTCCCTCTGTTGCCCAGGCTGGAGTGCAATGGCGCCATCTGGGCTCACTGCAACCTTCGTCTCCCACGTTCAAGCAATTCTCCTGCCTCAGCCCCCCGAGTAGCAGGGACTACAGGCGTGTGCCACCATGCCCGTGTAATTTTTGTACTTTTAGTAGAGACGGGGTTTTACTACGTTGATCAGGCGGGTCTCAAATTCCTGACCTCAGGCGATCCACCAGTCTCGGCCTTACAAAGTGCTGGGGGATTACAGGCATGAGCCACTGCGCCTGGCCTCAATTAGGGTTTTCTATAAACCGAATCTGAGGCAAGAATTCTTGTAAAAGTGATTTGCTCAGGGAGCTGTCATCAGAGAGACAGGGAGAAACAAAAATTGAAAAAGCCAAATAAGGCAGTAAAAGAGAACTAAGCATGGATGTAGTCCCAGTTGAATAGATTAACTTCAACCTGGTCCTCTAGAGAGATCTGAAGCACAAGTTGCACTACAGAGTTGCACCCGCCCCTTTCCCCTGAGGAAAGGATGCCACCCTTTTGTACACCGAGATGGTTAGTTATGGGGCGCTCACTCTCTGGTGGATAGGTGGGATACAACCTTCTGGGGAAGGGGTCTCCCATTTGCTAAGAGGAATTCTCTAGAGAAGGAGGGCATTAGAAGGCAACCCTCACAACAACTAGAGAATGAGTATCCCAATCAGGTAAAGGAGATTGTGGGAGGACACCAAATATTTGCAGTATAGTGGCATTCTAGTTGCAGCTGGAGTCATTACATAAAATGTTGAGTAAAAGTAAATGCTGGAATCACTAGCTTGTACATATCAGTATTCTTAAGTTAAATCAATCCACTATTATCTCCTCCAGCATACTACAATCCTCCCAAAATGCAGAGATAAGAACTATAACAAATGCAAGGTAATTTCATCTGACTTCCATTAATTCATGGCAAAACTTTTTGTCTACTACTTTAGCCTCATGAGAATGTTTCTATTCTTATTGCAAAGAGTGTTCTCCATGTACAAATACTCTGTAAGTTCTCTACTACTTTCCACCTTTTTTTTTGGAGAAAGTGGTACTGTCCTCTTAGTTCTCATCCACCCTTGTGTCTTCTCATTTGTCTCCACAATGACTTTTCTCTGTTAGATCTTCAGTATTCCTTTTGTTTTTTACTCCTTTTGGTATTTATTTATTTATTTATGTTTATAAATGTGTTCAAACTCTCCTAATTCAGCTATAATTTTCTTTAAATGTACTCTCTTATTTTATTGCCAATCCTTTAGGAATAATCTGCATTTCTGTTTCTTCAGTTTCTTCATTCTACTTTATACCCTTAACCCCACAACTATTGAAATCTATATATTTTTAAAAACATCCATTATCCCAAAAATTTGAAACCAGTTGCCTTGTTCATCCTTTTCCAAAGTTTTTTATAGTTTCACCATATGCTCTTTGTAAAAATCTTCTGTTTTTCCAGATCCTAGAACATTGTAATACCCGAGAGCTTTACTTCTTTGGTTTATTTATGTGCTTATGTTTTTCTCATACCTCAAAAGACTGTGTTTTGTTTTCTTATCTTCTCTCTATATATGTTCTTCCTTTCATTTGTTCATTATTGCATTCATTGCATTTATTTGTCACTATAGTCATCTTATTTTCCTAAGCACTTATGTAGCATTTCAAAGATTCTTTGGTAAACTTTTATCTGGAAAACTCAGTAAAGCTTCAAACAATTCTAAAATATTTTAATCTCTGTGTGCAAATGTGGGATTTCTTCTCTTTATCTTTATCTTTCTCTTCTTCATTTTCCTTGTCACACAAGGTAACCTAAGAGACATATTTGGGAGATACTTAAATCATTCATCTCTTTACCATTTAAATTTAGCTTCATCCTGAAATATATTATGTCTATTTAAATCATGCTTATTTAGTACTTGTGAATGTTATCTGAATTTTTATTATAACAATAATAATATCTTTTAAAATCACTATTATTTTCACAGTAATGATGCAAAAAATATTGATAACCAGAAAAATGAAAAGACATTTTCTGACTGATTTCTTACATTGACTTATTTCTAAAGTTGGTGATTGTACTTAAAAGTTAAAATTAGCACTCAGAAATGTTTCATAATTGTCCTTTAACTACAGACTAGATTGCAGATGATTAACTGTATGCAATTTATACATAAAATGTCTCATACTTTCAGTGAATGTTCATCTCTCAAAAATAAACTTAATAGTTATTTTGTAATAGTAAAATTAGAAAAATATATATTTCAAATTAATGTTACAGTTAACAAAATAGTAAGAAGTTTGTATGGGATAATTGTAATACTCACAATTCTTGTAATTATTTTAATTCTCTTAATACTTGTAATTCTTAAGGAATATGTATCTGTCCTGGGGAAAACATTTTGTGTATTACTTTTTTAGAAACCTTATAGGTAATCATGAATACAAATTTCTGACTCTGCTACTCTAGAAAATACATTCTAAGATATTAAATTTGCATCTGATTTAATGTCAACAACTGCATTCTTTCTAATCCTCCAAGAAAGACAATATTTAAATATATCCTTTCAGTTCATCAACCAAAATTTAGTGGGTGATAAGATATAATTAACATTAATATTCATTACAATTCATATTTTATTTTTAAAATTTCTAATATGATTGCATCAGTAAATACATTCAAAATTATTTCACTTTATTAAGCCAAAATAGGTAACACAAAATAAATTTTTATTTCCCTAAAACATTTTATAGTTAATAAGTTTTTAAATATGAAGTAATATTTCACTATTCTCAGCTTTATTTGTGTAAGTATAAATTTAAAAGTCTGTAATAGTATAATATATTAAAGCTTATAAGCTTGTATAATAATAAGCTTTGTATTATAATAAAGCTTTAATACAATAATTTAAAATGTATTTGTTACTTTCAGATTCCTGAACACATGAAACATCTGAAAAGTTTCTTTATCTTGTATCTTTTAGGAAAATTAGAGATAAAACTTTCTGTAATAATCTTAAAGTATCAAATAGAGATAATAGTATCCCCCAAACAAAAATATTCGATAGAATGTATCTTTGTTCAATTCATGAAAAAATTTGGAAGTGGAAACCAGTTGGGGGGAGGCAATTTTTGTTTGGAAAATATATAATTTTCTCTCTTTTTCTTAGAAGCTAAGGTTTGTTCCCATTTTATTTATAAAAAAATATGAACACATCTTATTATAGCACTGGGGTTATGTTCACCACTAATTGACTTAAAGAATAATTATTGGCAGGGCATGATGGCTCATGCCTGTAATCCCAGTGCTTTGAGATGCCAAGGTGAGAGGATCGCTTGACTCCAGGAGTTTGAGACCAGCCTGGGCAGCATAGCGAGACCCCAACTTTACACAAAAGTTTTCAAAAGATTAGCCAAGCATAGTGGCACATGTCTGTAGTCCTAGCTACTCAGGTGGCTGAGGTGGGATAATTGCTTGAGCCCAGGAGTTGAGGGCTGCAGTGAGCTATGATCACACCACTGCACTCCAGCCTGGTTGACAGAATAAGACCTCATCTCTTTAAAATAAATTAAAATTAAAAAAAATAATTATTCTATGTTGATAAAGTAAACTTTTTCTCTGCACTGTCATCTCATCAAAGTTGAAAAATTACTCAAATACTGTCCTAAGAGGTTTAAATATGTCCAAGTCAATTGTACTCAAGAGAGTTTGAGGCCGCATCCTTCTACTTTAGTCCCCTGTCTTCAAAATGCAAGGTCTTTTATCCCTCTTTTTCCATTCCTGACTTTCCAGTCCAAGTCAACCCTTTGTTAATATTAACATCTATTCCATTAGGCCAAATAGCATTTGTTTAACAAGTACTCCATAGTGACACATAGATGAATGTCGATGTGTGCATGGAAAAACTTGCATTCAATCCCTCATGTATTTTATGTTATGAAATTTTTCAAATAATTGGTAAGTTCCTTGCCTAGAGGGAACTAAAAGTATCAAGACATTTGGATGCATATTGATACTGATTGAGACATAAAATGTTAGTTATTAACCATAGTCATGTCTAATTTTATTCTGCTCCATTACAACTACTAGTAGAATATCGATAGTTTTTCAAGTTCTTGTATTCTTATATTGAATTCAAGGAAACTTTCATAATAAGTAATTCTTGCTATTTTTTCTTTTCATTTCTTTTTCTTTCTTTCTCTTTTTTTTTCTTTCTTTCTGAGACAAAGTCTTGCTCGCTTGCCCAGGCTGGAGTGCAGTGGCGTGATTTCTTTCTTTTTCCTTTTTTTTTATTATTTTGGTCTCCCCCCCCCGCCTTTTGTGGAGAACGGAGTCTTGCTATATGGCCCAGGCAGGTCTCGAACTCCTGGCCTTAAGCTATCCTCCCGCCTCTGCCTCCCTGAGAGCTAGGATTACAGGAGTGAGCCACTGCGCCTGGCCTGAAGTGGTGTGATTTCTAATGGTACATTGTTAGGTGCATAGTCATTAATAATTGTTATGTCTTTGAGAGCACTAACCCCTCTTTATTCCTGATAAGTTTCAGTCCTCTGAAGTCATTTTGTTTTCTAAATTAATATAACTATTCTAGTTGTGTTTTGATTTGCCTTAGCATGGTATATTGACCCTTTACGTCTAACCAATCTGAGTCTATTCTTAAAGTGGATTTCTTGCAGATAACATATAATTGGGCCTTTGGGATTTTTTTTTTATTTGTTTGTTTGTTTGTTTGTTTTTAAATCCAGTCTAACAGTCTCTGTCCTTTACTTGGTACAATTTGATCATTCATATTTACATATTTAAAGTAATTAGTGATATAGTTGCTTTATTATCATGCTTGTAACTGTTTTCTATTTATCGTACTCTGTTTTTTCTTCTGTTTTTCTGAATTCACTAATTTTAATTAAGAATTTTATGATTCTATTTTATCCTCTCTCATAACATATTAACTATACATATCTTAAAACATATGAAGGTTGAGCTAGAGTTTGTAACAATGCCTTTTTAACTACTCAAGTCTACCTCAATAATACTGTATCACTTCATGAGTACACAGTACAGGTATCTTATAACTGAGTATTCTCAATTTCTGTCTTCCCTCTCGTGACATTGCTGTCATTGATTTCACTTATTAATGTGCTATAATCACCCAATATATTATTATTATTATCTTAAGCAGTTCTCTTTTATATTATGAATAAAAATAATGAAAGATTTAATTTTACCTTCATCTGTTCCTTCTCCAAAACTCTTTCTTTTTAAATTTATATCCAAGTTTCTGATCTATATCACTTTCTTTCCTCCTGAGGAACTTCTTTTAACATTTACTGCAAGGCAATAATGTCTGCTGGTGATGATTTCCCTCAGTTCTTGTTTGTCTAACAAAGTCTTTATTTCTCCTTCACTTTTGAAAGGTAATTTTGCTGGATTCAAGGATACTAGATTTTTTTTTCTTTCATCACTTTCTGTGTTCCATTCCACTCTTCTTGCCTGCCTAGTTTATGAGAAGTCTGATACAATTGTATCTTTGTTCCACTATGGGTAAGGTATATTTATTTCCTAGCTCCTTTGAAGATATTTCTCTTTGTATTTGGTTTTCTTCAGTTTGAATATAATATGTCTAGGTGTAATTTTTTATTATTCTGGTAAATGTTCTCTGAGCTTCTTGTAGGTTTATTTTTGTTTCTTTTGTTTTGTTTGTCCTTGGTTTTGTTTTTGGTTTTTGGTATCTGTCAATTTTGGAATGTTCTCCGCCATTATTACTTCAAATAATTATTTTATTCTGTTCTTTATTTCTCTTCTCTTTTGCCAATTAAGATATGTTACTTTTTATAATTACCCCACAGATCATCAATACTATGTTCTGTTTTAATGTTCTTATTACTTTTTTGTCTTGCATTTACATTTTGGAAATTTCTGTTAACATATCTTTGAGCTCACTGATTCTTTTCTGGGCTGTACTAGTCTTTTGATGATCCCATCAGTGATATCCTTTATTTCTGCTACAGTGTTTTGACTTCTGGCACTGCATTTTGACTCTTTCTTAGAGTTTCCATCTCTCTGCTTACATAAACCATTTGTTTTTAAATATTCTTTCTCACTCTAACACCAGTTAATTTAGCCTCCAGGAACTTGTCAAAATTACCACTCATGTATTTCTGAATCCAGCAACTTCGTCTCCAGGTCAGTAGATCTACAATGTGTTTATCTAGATTTATCTGTCCTCTCATACTTCAGGGTGCTAGATTGCTCTGCAAACTCAGCTCTGTTGAGTTCAAAAATAGCTGTTGATTTTAGTTTTTCTTTTTTAACCTTTTTTCTTGCTGTAAGGAATGGAGTAATGACTTCAAAGCTCATTACATGTTGGAGCTTATAATTGTTTTCAGATGACATGCTTAAAACCGTAAGAAATTTAAATGTCTTAGAACTGATAAAACAGTTTAATAATATCAGATTGCAAAACAAAAAATGTAAACAAAGTAGCTTATTAGTTAAGAAGTGTTTGCATTCGGGGGAGGAGCCAAGATGGCCGAATAGGAACAGCTCCGGTCTACAGCTCCCAGCGTGAGCGACCAAGACGGGTGATTTCTGCATTTCCATCTGAGGTACCGGGTGCATCTCAGTAGGGAGTGCCAGACAGTGGGCACCGGCCAGTGGGTGCGCGCACCATGCGCGAGCCGAAGCAGGGCGAGGCATTGCCTCACCTGGGAAGTGCAAGGGGTCAGGGAGTTCCCTTTCCGAGTCAAAGAAAGGGGTGACGGACACACCTGGAAAATCGGGTCACTCCCACCCGAATATTGCGCTTTTCAGACCGGCTTAAAAAACGGCGCACCACGAGACTATATCCCACACCTGGCTTGAAGGGTCCTACGCCCACGGAATCTCGCTGATTGCTAACACAGCAGTCTGAGATCAAACTGCAAGGCGGCAGCAAGGCTGGGGGAGGGGCGCCTGCCATTGCCCAGGCTTGCTTAGGTAAACAAAGCAGCAGGGAAGCTCCAACTGGGTGGAGCCCACCACAGCTCAAGGAGGCCTGCCTGCCTCTGTAGGCTCCACCTCTGGGGGCAGGGCACAGACAAACAAAAAGACAGCAGTAACCTCTGCAGACTTAAATGTCCCTGTCTGACAGCTTTGAAGAGAGCAGTGGTTCTCCCAGCACGCAGCTGGAGATCTGAGAACCGGCAGACTGCCTCCTCAAGTGGGTCCCTGACCCCTGACCCCCGAGCAGCCTAACTGGGAGGCACCCTCCAGCAGGGGCACACTGACACCTCACACAGCAGGGTATTCCAATAGACCTGCAGCTGAGGGTCCTGTCTGTTAGAAGGAAAACTAACAAACAGAAAGGACATCCACACCGAAAACCCATCTGTACATCACCATCATCAAAGACCAAAACTAGATAAAATCACAAAGATGGGGAAAAAACAGAACAGAAAAACTGGAAACTCTAAAATGCAGAGCGTCTCTCCTCCTCCAAAGGAACGCAGTTCCTCACCAGCAACAGAACAAAGCTGGATGGAGAATGACTTTGACGAGCTGAGAGAAGAAGGCTTCAGACGATCAAATTACTCTGAGCTACGGGAGGACATTCAAACCAAAGGCAAAGAAGTTGAAAACTTTGAAAAAAATTTAGAAGAATGTATAACTAGAATAACCAATACAGAGAAGTGCTTAAAGGAGCTGATGGAACTGAAAACCAAGGCTCGAGAACTACGTGAAGAATGCAGAAGCCTCAGGAGCCGATGCGATCAACTGGAAGAAAGGGTATCAGCAATGGAAGATGAAATGAATGAAAATGAAGCAAGAAGGGAAGTTTAGAGAAAAAAGAATAAAAAGAAATGAGCAAAGCCTCCAAGAAATATGGGACTATGTGAAAAGACCAAATCTACATCTGATTGGTGTACCTGAAAGTGATGGGGAGAATGGAACCAAGTTGGAAAACACTCTGCAGGGTATTATCCAGGAGAACTTCCCCAATCTAGCAAGGCAGGCCAACGTTCAGATTCAGGAAATACAGAGAACGCCACAAAGATACTCCTCGAGAAGAGCAACTCCAAGACACATAATTGTCAGATTCACCAAAGTTGAAATGAAGGAAAAAATGTTAAGGGCAGCCAGAGAGAAAGGTCGGGTTACCCTCAAAGGGAAGCCCATCAGACTAACAGTGGATCACTCGGCAGAAACCCTACAAGCCAGAAGAGAGTGGGGGCCAATATTCAACATTCTTAAAGAAAAGAATTTTCAACCCAGAATTTCATATCCAGCCAAACTAAGCTTCATAAGTGAAGGAGAAATAAAATACTTTACAGACAAGCAAATGCTGACCGATTTTGTCACCACTAGGCCTGCCCTAAAAGAGCTCCTGAAGGAAGTGCTAAACATGGAAAGGAACAACCAGTACCAGCCGCTGCAAAATCATGCCAAAATGTAAAGACCATCAAGACTAGGAAGAAACTGCATCAACTAACGAGCAAAATCACCAGCTAACATCATAATGACAGGATCAAATTCACACATAACAATATTAACTTTAAATATAAATGGACTAAATTCTCCAATTAAAAGACACAGACTGGCAAATTGGATAAAGAGTCAAGATCCATCAGTGTGCTGTATTCAGGAAACCCATCTCACGTGCAGAGACACACATAGGCTCAAAATAAAAGGATGGAGGAAGATCTACCAAGCAAATGGAAAACAAAAAAAGGCAGGGGTTGCAATCCTAGTCTCTGATAAAACAGACTTGAAACCAACAAAGATCAAAAGAGACAAAGAAGGCCATTACATAATGGTAAAGGGATCAATTCAACAAGAAGAGCTAACTATCCTAAATATATATACACCCAATATGGGAGCACCCAGATTCATAAAGCAAGTCCTGAGTGACCTGCAAAGAGACTTAGACTCCCACACATTAATAATGGGAGACTTTAACACCCCACTGTCAACATTAGATGGATCAACGAGACAGAAAGTCAACAAGGATACCCAGGAATTGAACTCAGCTCTGCACCAAGCAGACCTAATAGACATCTACAGAACTCTCCACCCCAAATCAACAGAATATACATTTTTTTCAGCACCACACCACACCTATTCCAAAATTGACCACATACTTGGAAGTAAAGCTCTCCTCAGCAAATGTAAAAGAACAGAAATTATAACAAACTATCTCTCAGACCACAATGCAATCAAACTAGAACTCAGGATTAAGAATCCCACTCAAAGCTGCACAACTACATGGAAACTGAACAACCTGCTCCTGAATGACTACTGGGTACATAATGAAATGAAGGCAGAAATAAAGATGTTCTTTGAAACCAACGAGAACAAAGACACAACATACCAGAATCTCTGGGACACATTCAAAGCAGTGTGTAGAGGGAAATTTATAGCACTAAATGCCCACAAGAGAAAGCAGGAAAGATCCAAAATTGACACCCTAACATCACAATTAAAAGAACTAGAAAAGCAAGAGCAAACACATTCAAAAGCTAGCAGAAGGCAAGAAATAACTAAAATCAGAGCAGAACTGAAGGAAATAGAGACACAAAAAACCCTTCAAAAATTCAATGAATCCAGGAGCTGGTTTTTTGAAAGGATCAAAAAAATTGATAGACCGCTAGCAAGACTAATAAAGAAAAAAAGAGAGAAGAATCAAATAGACACAATAAAAAATTATAAAGGGGATATCACCACCGATCCCACAGAAATACAGACTACCATCAGAGAATACTACAAGCACCTCTACACAAATAAACTAGAAAATCTAGAAGAAATGGATAAATTCCTCAACACATACACTCTCCCAAGACTAAACCAGGAAGAAGTTGAATCTCTGAATAGACCAATAACAGGAGCTGAAATTGTGGCAATAATCAATAGTTTACCAACCAAAAAGAGTCCAGGACCAGATGGATTCACAGCCGAATTCTACCAGAGGTACAAGGAGGAACTGGTGCCATTCCTTCTGTAACTATTCCAATCAATAGAAAAAGAGGGAATCCTCCCTAACTCATTTTATGAGGCCAGCATCATTCTGATACCAAAGCCGGGCAGAGACACAACCAAAAAAGAGAATTTTAGACCAATATCCTTGATGAACATTGATGCAAAAATCCTCAATAAAATACTGGCAAACCGAATCCAGCAGCACATCAAAAAGCTTATCCACCATGATCAAGTGGGCTTCATCCCTGGGATGCAAGGCTGGTTCAAATATGCGCAAATCAATAAATGTAATCCAGCATATAAACAGAACCAAAGACAAAAACCACATGATTATCTCAATAGATGCAGAAAAAGCCTTTGACAAAATTCAACAACCCTTCATGCTAAAAACTCTCAATAAATTAGGTATTGATGGGACGTATTTCAAAATAATAAGAGCTATCTATGACAAACCCACAGGCAATATCATACTGAATGGGCAAAAACTGGAAGCATTCCCTTTGAAAACTGGCACAAGACAGGGATGCCCTCTCTCACCACTCCTATTCAACATAGTGTTGGAAGTTCTGGCCAGGGCAATTAGGCAGGAGAAGGAAATAAAGGGTATTCAATTAGGAAAAGAGGAAGTCAAATTGTCCCTGTTTGCAGACGACATGATTATATATCTAGAAAACCCCATTGTCTCAGCCCAAAATCTCCTTAAGCTGATAAGCAACTTCAGCAAAGTCTCAGGATACAAAATCAATGTACAAAAATCACAAGCATTCTTATACACCAACAACAGACAAACAGAGAGCCAAATCATGAGTGAACTCCCATTCACAATTGCTTCAAAGAGAATAAAATACCTAGGAATCCAACTTACAAGGGATGTGAAGCACCTCTTCAGGGAGAACTACAAACCACTGCTCAAGGAAATAAAAGAGGATACAAACAAATGGAAGAACATTCCATGCTCATGGGTAGGAAGAATCAATATCGTGAAAATGGCCATACTGCCCAAGGTGATTTACAGATTCAATGCCATCCCATCAAGCTACCAATGACTTTCTTCACAGAATTGGAAAAAACTACTTTAAAGTTCATATGGAACCAAAAAAGAGCCCGCATTGCCAAGTCAATCCTAAGCCAAAAGAACAAAGCTGGAGGAATCACACTACCTGACTTCAAACTATACTACAAGGCTACAGTAACCAAAACAGCATGGTACTGGTACCAAAACAGAGATATAGATCAATGGAACAGAACAGAGCCCTCAGAAATAATGCCGCATACCTACAACTATCTGATCTTTGACAAACCTGAGAAAAACAAGCAATGGGGAAAGGATTCCCTATTTAATAAATGGTGCTGGGAAAACTGGCTAGCCATATGTAGGAAGCTGAAACTGGATCCCTTCCTTACACCTTATACAAAAATCAATTCAAGATGGATTAAAGGCTTAAACGTTAGACCTAAAACCTTAAAAACCCTAGAAGAAAACCTAGGCATTACCATTCAGGACATAGGCATGGGCAAGGACTTCATGTCCAAAACACCAAAAGCAATGGCAACAAAAGCCAAAATTGACAAATGGGATCTAATTAAACTAAAGAGCTTCTGCACAGCAAAACAAACTACCATCAGAGTGAACAGGCAACCTACAAAATGGGAGAAGATTTTCGCAACCTACTCATCTGACAAAGGGCTAATATCCAGAATCTACAGTGAACTCAAACAAATTACAAGAAAAAAACAAACAACCCCATCAAAAAGTGGGCGAAGGACATGAACAGACACTTCTCAAAAGAAGACATTTATGGAGCCAAAAAACACATGAAAAAATGCTCATCATCACTGGCCATGAGAGAAATGCAAATCAAAACCATTATGAGATACCATCTCATACCAGTTAGAATGGCAATCATTAAAAAGTCAGGAAACAACAGGTGCTGGAGAGGATGTGGAGAAATAGGAACACTTTTACACTGTTGGTGGGACTGTAAACTAGTTCAACCATTGTGGAAGTCAGTGTGGCGATTCCTCAGGGATCTAGAACTAGAATTACCATTTGACCCAGCCATCCCATTAGTGGGTATATACCCAAATGACTATGAATCATGCTGCTCTAAAGACACATGCACACGTATGTTTATTGCGGCATTATTCACAATAGCAAAGACTTGGAACCAACCCAAATGTCCAACAATGATAGACTGGATTAAGAAAATGTGGCACATATACACCATGGAATACTATGCAGCCATAGAAAATGATGAGTTCATGTCCTTTGTAGGGACATGGATGAAATTGGAAATCATCATTCTCAGTAAACTATCGCAAGATCAAAAAACCAAACACCGCATATTCTCACTCTTAGGTGGGAACTGAACAATGAGATCACATGGACACAGGAAGGGGAATATCACACTCTGGGGACTGTGGTGCGGTGGTGGGAGGGGGGAGGGATAGCATTGGGAGATATACCTAATGCTAGATGACGAGTTAGTGGGTGCAGCGCACCAGCATGGCACATGTATACATATGTAACTAACCTGCACTATGTGCACATGTACCCTAAAACTTAAAGTATAATAAAAAACAAAACAAAACAAAAAAAAGGCATACCAAATAAATAAATAAATAAATAAATAAATAAAATAAATAAAATAAAGAAGTGTTTGGATTCAAAAATAGAAAAATCCTTGATTCTAACTAGCATAAAGATAGGGAAACTTAGTATTTCATACGACAAGAAATTCATAGGTAGAAGGTCCCTTGAGTTTAATACAGTTCACAGTCTGGCTCTATTTCCCAGTGAGTCCCTTGATCAACCTTACTCTAGGTTAAATGTTTCATCCTTGGGTTGATAACAAGATGGTGGCAGAAGTTTCCAAAAATTGTACCATATAAAGCAATAATCTTAAAAAGAAGCATGCAGTTGTCTTTTTTGATGACATTTATCTTGCCTAAGTTTAGAGGGTTAAAGAACTGTTTTAAGTAAGATGGGAAAATCCAAAGGTTTGAACAAGTTATAGGTTTATGAAAATTAATTGTAGAAGAGATTCTGCCTGTGAACATATTGGATAAAGTTAAAATGGAAAGCATGGCCTTACCAAACTATAAGGATGCTAGAAGTCAAGGCCTTCATCCAAGGACAAGAAAGAAAGCTCTGGTGGGTCATCAGTGGTGGAGAGAACCATTCCAAAGTGGTGCTGTCACCCATCTAAGGTCAAAGATGTCTGAGAAGATGGGGCCCAGGATGCCCCTAGAGACCGCAGACAAGACCCAGAGTTTTTCCAGAGGGATGCCCCAGGTAAAATTTGGGTAATCTAATAAGCCCTCCATTTTTCAAAGTCCTCTTCTTCCAGACTATTATGGGCAACCATCCATTCCACTTTATTCCCTATGTGGCTTCATCCTGAACCACTGGAATCAATTTGACCCTGACAATATAAGGAAAAAAAATTTGATGTTTTACTGCATATACCGTATGGCCCCAATATCAGTTGAACAGTCACAAGCAATGGGTGGTCAATGGTAGCCTTAATTATAACACCATCCCGCAATTAGACCTATTTTCCAAAAGGCAGGATAAATGATCAGAAATCCCATGTATACAGGCCTTCATTACCCTATTCCAAAACCCAACAATCTGCAAAACTCCCAGAAATGAAAGTCCCCCAAATGAAAGTCCTAAGTCAGAACTAGATGTTGTAGATGACCTCACTTTACAAGAGCTGTGTGTCTCTCAGGGGGAACAGCAACCACCCTCACATAACCCTTTGCCAAGTGTTCCTGAGGCTCAAACCCAAGAGCAAAAACCAAGAAGCCTGCAAAGTTCTTCTCACATTCAGAGGGAAACACCCTATTTAAGTACCCCTTTAGCCCTGCTATCCCTTAGGAAAGTAGCAGGAGCTGAGAGGCCAGTCTGAGTGCAGGCCCTCTTCTCTATAACTGACATACAACAGTGTAAAGAAAAGCTAGTAAGGTATGCTGAGAACCCCAGGAAATTTGTAGATGAGTTCTAAACTTTGACCTTAGCCTTTAATCTCTCATCAAGAGATGTTCAATTCATTCTAGCAACCTGTGGCACCCCCCTTCCCTTGGAAAAGGAATGAAACTTTGAGGTGATTTGCTGGGAAGCAGATGACTTATTTGTCCAAAACCCTCAGGGCAATCATATAGGCCCAGACGCAGTTCCTGCTACTGATCCTAATTGGGACTCTGACACCCCCATGGGAATGAACAACTAACTGGGCTTAATTTTTTGAGACTCTCCTTGGAGGAATGAAAAAGGGAATAACTAAGGCAGTAAATTGTGATAAAGTAAGGAGGTTACACAAGGCAAGAAGGAAAATACAACCATGTTTTATGGCAGGTTGGAGGAAGCATTTAAAAAAGGTACCAATCTGGGCCAGGCAGGTGGCTCACACCTGTAATCCCAGCACTTTGGGAGGCCAAGGCACTCCTCTTGAGGTTAGGAGTTGGAGACCAGCCTGGCCAACATGATGAAACCCTGTGTCTCCTAAAAACACAGAAATTAGCTGGGCACGGTGGCAGGCTCCTGTAATCCCAGCGTCTTGGGGGGCTGAGACTGGATAATCGCTTGAACCTTGGAGGCAGAGGTTGCAGTGAGTTGAGATGAAACCACTGCACTCCATCCTGGGTGACAGAGCAAGACTCCATCTCGAATACACACACACACACACACACACACACAACCTGGACCCTTCCTCTTCCAAAGGCAAAATATTAATGGCACAGCATTTTATTAGCCAATCCACCATAGACATTAGACATCAGCACCAAAAGCTACAGATGGGCAGTAAATTATAATACTTCAAGAGCAGCTTCTTGATACCACCTTATGGTGTATAACAATTGTGACCTGGAGGGAGAAAAAAGGAAACAGAATAAAGAAAACTGGCAAGCCAAAATTATGTCAGCCATCATTGCTGATGTCCTGAATGCCCAAAGAGCATTCAAGGGAAACTCAGAGGGCCATAATGATAATGCTAGCAAAGGCTCTTGGTTCAATTGCAAGAAAATTGGGCGCTGGGCAAAGGACTATACTAAATCTCCACCAGGTCCCTGCCATCAATGCGAAGGCAGCAGTCACAACCCCTTACGCTGGAGAATTGAGTGTCCCCACTCCCACTGAGGGGTTCAGTCAGTCCAAATTCTAGAAGTACAAAAGAAGAAATTAGATGAAGTCTGAAGAGACCTGGGGCCTTCCTCACCACCCCTGTCCAGGAACATCATCATTACTATTGAGGAGTCCTAGATAACTCTGGACATCCTGGGCACCCAAATTCCATTTCTTTTTAATACAGGGGAAAATTACTCTGTTCTTACTGCTTTTATAGGAAAGCATTCCTCTGAGTCCATGAGCATTATGGGAATGGAAGAAAAAAACTGAAAAAAGACTGTGAAGATTCATCACATATAGAATTCAGATTATTATCTGAATTATCTGAGAGACCTCCAAGAAAAATAATAAACTACATTTTTCTCCAAAGAAATCAAAATATTATGTAAATAAAAACTCTGATAAGAAAGCACTTCAGAATCTGAACTTTAGAAAATCCAACTATCAAAAACAGAAGAAAAACCTCAGGAAGAGGAATTTGATGAATACCTTCAATATTTGTTTCTGTGAAATGGGAGAGAGAAGACTACTTTCTATAATGTGAAAGTATACTTTAAAACTATTCATTTTTATCTTACACACACACACACACACAGACACACACACTGCATATATTCTACTGGTTCCATTTCTCTGGAAAACCCTAACACACAAATGAATTAGATAATAGTATTTCCAGCCTAACAGCTAATTCTCTGAAGTTCTTCATAGAACTTGTAAATTATGTGTTTATATTGCTGTCAATCATAGATATACCCTTTAAAAGGCATAATAAAGTGATAAGCAAATTATATTAAAAGGCAATTCTGAACAAGAGTAACACTTAAGAATAGTATTTTGTGCTCTGTCTTACTAAAAATATTAAAATTATACTATTTTTATGCTATCAAATTGTTAAAGCTTAAAATAAATGTTAAGTATAACAACGTGATAAAATGAAAATTCTTGCAGACTGTGGATGAAATACAAAGAAGCCTACAGTTTTTAGGGACATTATATCCATGCCTTAATTTAGCCATTTTAAATGTAGAAATTGATCCTGAGGATCTAAACAACAATTTGCACAATTTTAAAAAAAACTTTGGTATGCAATTTGCACAATGCTTTCTATGCTTTGCACAAAGTTAAATATAATGATATATATCTATTTTTATTAAAACTACATATTTCAAAAATAATGTATTAGCACAGAAATAGGGTTACAAGATATAACATATTTAAATTAAAGAATATAGAAACCTAAATGTAGTATGACCTGAGACTTATAGAGATAGATAAATGAGACAGAAGCAGAACAAAGAAATTTAACAAAATAAGTAATAGGAAGATATGCACCAAAATATAAAACATCAGTAACTAAGTACAGTAAAATGCAGTAATTTAGTTTGTATTTGGTATTTCTACCTTAATTTACACATTAAAAATGCTATTTTTCATTATTCATTTGCTCTCTTTCCTACATTTTGTTATGTGAAATTTTGACACTGATTATACTTTACATGTCCAAATCCTCATCTTCAACATGTTAAACCTCTTAAAAAGTATATATAGGGCCAATCTTTCAGTTGCAACATAGCTTAATAAATAGAATTTAAAACCTATGAAGAAATTGTTAAAAATCATTTCATTCTCACCAGTAGTCGTTATAAAACATTTTTAAAACAAAATGTCTTTAATTTCTCCAGAATATATTTTCTTTTAAATGCCAGGGAATAAATATACACAGAGTGATATGAGAAATAAATCTATTTTTATGCATAACATTAGCCACTAGGCTTCTTCAATTAATAGTTTTTACTGTAAATGCGCAGCAAATCAAAATCAGCAGGGAAAAACATCCTGACATAATTACATTAATTTCTTTATTCACTTGCTTATAAACAGGCTTGGAAGGATGTGGATAAAATTCATAAGTTACACATAGATCTGAAAGCTTCATCCCGTTCCACCCCTTCCAAATTAATTACCATCCTGCTGTATGTTAGGCTCACTTTGATCAGCTTCAAGTTGAACATATTTCACAATTCACCCCTCCAGCCTATTTTTGAAGTACAGTATACTTATAAGTTCTAGAGCTGAGATGTAAAAACATGAATGTTTGCAAATTGAGGAACTGAACTCCATCTTAAAGAGAATCTTTTTATGTTTGAAAGAGCCTCTGTCAGACTTAAAACTGTGACCAAAGCAGACATTAAATATTGGTGGCATTACTCATAAGTAGTACTTCAATAAGAAAGCATGCAGATAGGTTTATCTGTTGGTGTCACTTTACTATCACTTCATATATGTCAGTATAAAATAATAATATAAAAATGTCACTCCAGATAAATTCCTAATCTCAAAAACTCTTGATATCTCATGCTGGCATGCCTTTAACCTAGCTGTTCTCTGGCATATAATGATGACAGGCTTATGTTTCCTTTCTGACCCTGAGACACCTACTGACGATAGCTGTAAATTTCAACCAAGTGAAATTATAAATATACGGGTAAAACTACTGGAGTGAACATTCAACATAGCCATTAATCATTATGCAGCATAGGCTAGAAATTATATTTTTCTAAAAGGCTTAAGACCTCATTAAAGTAGATGTTCACATCAACACTAGCCGCCTTTTCTGGTTTTATTCATAACAATATACGTATAATGAATATTTCAAATATACTGACTATTCACCCCTGACTTACCTGTGATAATGTTTTTAGATTGTGACTCCAAATTTCTGAATCTTAACTCTTCAAAAACTGAAAGCAATATACTGGCCCCAAAGCAATGTCATACACAAGAGAGAAGCTTGTACTAAAATTTTAGTAATGTTATTAACTAATAACCTTTTCTACCTTATAATTACTATCCAATGAGATATGTCATTTAATCCATTTAACCTTTGCCTCAATTCTACATAGTAAATGTTTGAGTAAACATTCTTTATAAATTCAGGTTTTCAGTGGAAAATCAACTAAATTGTCCCTTAAGATATGGAATCAGATATCAAACCAAATGCTCTCTGACTTCAAAATTGTGCTCTTTTCAGGCACCCTGTGAATTAAAGTAGATTAGATTTCTAGTGAAATGTTCATTGTTTAATTTGAAGTCCTGCATATTGGGAGAAATAAATCTGAAAATTCTAGAGGGATACTGAGACAAGAAATAGAAAAAATATGTGACATTTAGGTTTTCACATTTTTGCCTCCCTTTTTGCAAGCTTTTTAGCGGAACAATGAGAATTTCCTGCTAGCCACATAAAACATCCTTGTGAAACGTGTTAGAAAATCTTGCTACCCACTCATAGTAGCTTACCAGAAAGCTGTAACCCTGAAATTTTTAGATAGATTATTATTGCCCAAAAAGTACTATTCAAAATACTAGTAACTAAAGGAAAAATAATAGTTCTAAATAAAATTTAGAAAAATGTGTATTTCCAGTGTCTAGCCAAAACTTTTTCCCATTGCTTATCATAAAAGAAAAGCTGAAGGAAAAAATACAAATGCTGAAGGACATATTTTATTATTGAAGAGCCGAATGTTATTCAGGAGCATAAGGGTCCTCAAAGTCAGCATGAGGTCTGGAGTGAGGAAATCAGGGATCATATCTCAGTAGCATGGTGACCAAGTCACAGTACCTTTCAGAGCAAGTTTCAACGGTAAGGAGCAGGTAGATTTTTCATCTCTGCTAGTATTCCCTGGAAGCCAATATCACAATTACTTATCAGCCCTTAATAAACTCACAGAATTTTATTTTCAATATAAAATGATGTGGTACCCTTAAAAGCATTGTCAAGTGCTATGAGTATTATGAATACTACTTCTCTGGACTCTTAAAAATATCCTATTCTTTGTTAAAACATGTTTCTTAAAAGAGATTGCTAATATGGTAGATGTTGTGAACTAAATATCTGCAGTCCCCAGAAGTTTGTATATGGAATCCTAACCTTCTATGTGGTGATATTTGGAGATGAGGCCTTGGGAAGTTATTCAGGGAGAATCAAGTCATAAGGGTGGGGCCTTCATGATGGGATTAGTGCCCTTATTAGAAAAGACACCAGAAAGATGGTTCTCTCTCTTTCTCTCTTTTTTTCCCCATGAGGACCCAATGAGAAGGTGGCTGTCCAAAACCTGGGAAAGACACCAACCATTCTAGCACACTGATTATGAACTTTCTGCCTGCAGAACTGAGAAATTTCTGTTGTTTAAGCCACTGAGTCTTTTGTGTTTTGCAAGACAGTGGTATATATTCTAATGATTATCTATCTCAATTTTGTTATTTAAACACTGAAAAATACTAGGACTCATTGGATTATTATGTCTAGACACTATAGATTGTTTCCATTCTTAGAAATGAAAATGTGTTTTGTGAATTTTAAGCTCATAATTTATTACTACCTCATAGTTAAAAGACAAATAAATAACTCCATAGTTTGAGCAGCAAGTGTAACAGTAAAATTCTGAAGAGTGAGAAAATGTTCCATCTTTATCCAAAATCATTCAAGCAGAACTGGATCAAAGATAATGTGCAGAACACTGCCTTCAGTGAGACTACAGGACCAGAAGGCGTCAGAGGGACACAAGCCAGTTCTGAGTGCTGCAGCTGACAGGAATTATCTCAGCAGTTCAATTGCAGTTCTTTCCAACTCTTCTATATTAATGTGTGCGTAAGTTTCCAAAGCTGCCCAAATGTCCTTTATGTGGAGAACTACTGTTCCTTTTTTCAAGCAGAGTGGACTGAAAAGCTCACAAAGAAACTAGCAAAAATTTTACAAGTAACTCAATCAGAATTTCCTACTTACTAACCGGAATAAACAGAGTGGAGTGATAATCAGAAAACATGAAATTGAGATTAAATATTGTCCTGACAATGTACACTATGGAAGAGAAATTAAGAGGAGAAATCATGGCTAATAGATTGGAAGGAGATTATATAAATGGCTTTGTGACTTCATGCCCTTTCTTTCATGATACCTTAAAGCTATACTTTCAGAGCATTATGGAAATCCTGTTTACTCCCCAGGAATGGATTTAAAAATCACTAATTTTACCACTCACTCCATTTCTTTTGTACAGACCATATTGAACTTCAAATAAAAGTTTGAAAAAAACAAAACTACATTATTTGTGTTTGCATATATCTTATTTTTTTCTTAAATTTTGAAAATATCTAAAATCAACTTATGCTATTATATTTCATTCTTTTATACAGTTTTAAAGTGTGTCTCTGGTGTGCTTCATAAAGGATTTTTCAAACCACTTTAAGAGATGTTTCTCTGTTTCTTTTAGTTTATATATTAATGTTAACAAATATTTTGTAGCACTATAGCATACAAAAATAATACTTTGAAAAATAGTACTGTCCTAGATTTCAGATGAATAAAGTGTGACAAAGGGGTAGTCCATTTTATAAGTTCATTATCTAGCCTCAAGATGTTTACTGTACTCAAAACATTCATTATATTACTAAACAATCAAAATGAACTTTCTAATGAAAGAGGGAAATGGAATAAGTTTTTTATAATCCTGCTTTAAATTTTCTCTAGAAAATGTTTTTCATGCAGTTTCACAAATTAAGTGTTCTTATTCTTTTTCTACGATGTTTCCCACAAAAAGTTCTAGATTATGATTATATCCATAAACTCCAGATAAACACATAAGGCAATCTTTCATTCTTACACAAGATTGGACTTTTAAATTTATATGGATTTTTTACTTCCTATGTTAAACCCTATGGTCAAATTTAGTAGCTGTAATAATTTATCCATTTTCAACTCACATTTAATACTATTTTGTTTCACAACCATAGTATAATTTCCCTCCAAATGCTCATTGCACTTGAAAATATCATTTTAGCCCAACTATATTCAATCTTAATAAAACATTTATTTTGAACTATAGATTCACAGCAAATTCAGAGAAATGTGCAGGAAGATCCTAAGCATTCTTCAGCCAACCTAAACCAATGGTAGCATCTTGCATAAACTACAATATCAAAACCAGGAGATTAGGAAAGATTCTTTTTGCTAAGTTAATACATTTTATCCATTCTTTTTGCTGAGTTAATATATTTTCTCTAAACCTCTTGACTTTCACATAAATACATCTTTACCTTACATACATGTGTATGAGTGTGTGTGCACATGTGTAAATGTTTGTATAAGTAACTGTGTATCAGATGAATAAATTCAAGAGACTTATTATCATTATAATGATAACATGTAACTATAATTACAATGTGTTGAGTACGTGAACATTGCTTAAAGTGTTCTTACCACTAAAAAAAAAAAAAAAAAGTGTGTGAGGTATTTATATGTTAACTAGCTTGATTTAGCCATTCCACAATATATAAATACCAAAACATTGTGTTCCGCACCATAAATATATACATTTTATCTGTCAATTTAAAAACCTATATAACTAATTTTAAAAAATAACTGTATATTAAATATCTGAAAATAGGCTCTTTCTTTTTTTTTTTTTTTTTGATAGAGTCTTACTCTGTCACCAGGATGGAGTGCAGTGGCACGATCTTGGCTCACTGCAACCTCCGCCTACCAGGTTCAAGCGATTCTCCTGCCTCAGCCTCCCGACTAGCTGGGACTACAGGCACGTGCCGCCACACCCAGCTAATTTTTTTGTATTTTTAGTAGAGACGGTGTTTCACTATGTTGGCCAGGATGGTCTCCATCTTCTGACCCTGTGATCCGCCCGCCTCGGCTCCCAATGTACTGGGATTACAGGCGTGAGCCACCGCAGCAGGCGAAAATAGAGTCTTTCTACATTTTTTCTTTAAAATAATTTAATTAATTAAGAGGCTATTCTTATTTAAATATCTTATTTATAGAATATTTAGCATTATCATTTGCTTCCTTGTTTACTTCTAAAGTTAGGGTTCTCAGTAAAAAATTAACTAGATAATATGCATTCTTTATTCAAGAGTTTATACAATGTAATGAATTTAACATTGTGTCTGAGTGTCTAAAATACCCTCAGGAATATTGAATTGGGAGGGCACTTCAGGAGCTTGTCTGCTCTTGAAGAATGTGGAACAAGTGCCTCATATAAGGCTTTCAGGAAACCAATAATATTTAATAACATAATATATGGTGTTCTCCTGGAATCTGACTTAGAGCTTAATGTTTCTTTGTCATTTCCTGTGAGTTAGGTTTGAATATCCTTACATGACAGTATTTATGAGGTCATTTTTTACATCATTAATTTTATAATTTTCATGACAATGTTATGGCCAAGTTTTATATTCCAGCTTTTGTGAAATCAATTATCTAAAATACTGATGGAAAATTAACAATAAAACAAACCTCTTATTTCCTTCTATTTACCTGCTAAAGTAATCTGGATTTACTTTATCCAATTTACTGTATTTTACATTTACATTTTCATAGTTAGACACAGATGGGTGAAACATAGTTTTCATTTTAAACTTTGATTTTCTCCAAAATTTGCTGCGTTTATGAAGCATCGTTAGTATGAGAGCAAGTGAAAAGAAACTGAGATTTTTAGTTTTTGTGTCTGGAAGGGATCTTAGAAAAAAAAAGTCACAGTGGGTGTAGGCAATATTTTCTGTTTTCAAGATGTGAACTAAGACAAGAGGCAGCAAGATATGGAGCAAACAGCTTTGTATTCTTTCAAGCTTTCATATCTCTAACTTGCTGAGGCCCTCAGGAATGATAGAATAAATTTTCAGGCCATCTGGAATTGGATAGAGAAAATTGTAGCAATTATAGCAGTTCTTGGGTCGTATACTGTTTGATATTACCCAAGAAAATATTGCCAGATTGATGATGGTAAGTTTAAGGGAGAATGGTGGAGTGGTAGGCTTAGGAAATTTTTATACACATTTAATGTGTCCAATATCCATCCACATTTTGCATTATTACCCTTATTTTAAAAAAACAACAAAAAAAATCCCCCTAACGTTCATGAAAGTTAATTAACTGAAAATTGCAAAGGTAACAAATTATCCAATCCGGAATTCAAATTCAGTTGTGACTGCTCCAAAACCTCTAAATCGTTCTTTTTACTAAAACAACTGAAGACTTCTTTGTTTCTTTGCTTTTAAGAAATTCTGAAAAATAAAGATAAAAATGTTTTCAATTAATATCAAAACAACAATGCATATATAGAGAATAATAAAGATGTTTTCTAGAAATATGACAACTAAAAAGCAAGAAAAAGTACATACAATTTCTATTAACTAAATTATATATGTAATTACAATTTCCGAAACTCTAAGGATGCCACATTCTCAGCATCAACAGTTATTTTACATATACCCTCTCACATGCCTCTCCAAACTGGGGAGTTTCTGCAGCTGAAAAGGTTTTTTTCCATATTGTATTACTCTGGGTTCTCCAGAGAAAGAACCAACAGTACATCCATCTATCTATCTATCTATCTATCTATCTATCTATCTATCTATCTATCTATCTATCGATATACAGAGAAGAACTTACTATAAGGGTTGGCTGAGTTGATTATGGAAGCTGAGAAGTCCCATGATGTTCTGTGTGTAAGATGGACGACTGAGAAAGCCAGTGATGTAATTCCAGTTCCCAAATCCAAAGGCCTGAGAATCAGGGAAGTTAAATAGTGTGACTCTCAGTCTGAGTTTGCATGCCCCAGAACCAAGAGTGCTGGTAGCCAAGGGCAGGAGAAGATGAATGTCCTTGCTCAAGTAGAGAGATTAATTTGGGCTTCTCCTGCTCTTTTGTTCTGTTGAGGCCCTCAGTGGATTGGATGATGCCTATCCACATTGGTGAGAGTGTCAGAGTAGGCAGAGAGTGAGACATAGGAGAAGCGAGGAGCCCCTGAGAAAATGGAGGTCTAGATAATCTCAGACTCCAGCGACCACCCAGAACATGCATGCTAGGCAGAGAGGAGGGGAAATACATTTGCAGGAAGGAATGCCCATTAAGAGGCCCAGTAATTATTCACTCTGCAGTTACAACGTCAGAATGTCACTAGGTGCCTGCTAATTAGGGAAAGAGGGCAAAGGAGAAGATTCCTAAGAAATATGCAGGCACGATTTGATCCAACACCAGGCCATGCATGTGCACTAAGGGAGCATACCACAAGCTTGTGGTGGGAACTAGGAGGAAGAAAACATGGGGACTTAAGGCAAGAGAAGAAAAACTAGACCAAAAAAAGGCAGAGACTTTAAGACAGAGGTGGGAACTTCAAGAAAAAATTCGATATGAAAACCCAATGCAAGGTGCTGCTGGCTCACTCCCTTTCAGCAGCCCACTCTGCTTCATGTTTTCAGAGTGTACTCTCTAAGTAAACTCTCTGTCCTCTATTTTCCTTCAATGAACTCCCTCTCCTTTTTTTAAAGCTAAATTAGTCCCTTTGCTGAATTTTCTTTCACGTAAAACTAAGAAGGAAGGATTCCTGCGCTTCTTGGTAGGAAGGGCAGATCTCTTTTGCTCTATCGACCAATTCGTATGTTACTCTCTTACAGAAACATTTCACAGACATACCTTGAAATAATGTTTTACCAGCTTTGTGGGCATTCCTTAGCCAAGTCAAATTAACACATACAACTAAACGTTATATTATTACTGTTCATTCATGAGTGCTTCAAGAACTTCATCTGATGTTTTGGAAAATTTTTGGACTACTGACATAAAGAAGAGTTGATGAGTGCTGAGCAAAATTTCAGAAGACATAAAGAAATTTTTTTTTTGCCAGGCAATAATCAGGCCCCACAGGCAGCAAAAATATAGGGAGCTACTAAAATCTTCACCCAACAACTATATAACTGGCTTCTGTGTTCTCACAAGGAGGATGCTATATGTTCACTTGAATGATAAAACATGGTCTACAGTCATGCTCAGTATAAAGGAAGAATCCTGGCACTGACCAAAATGTGCTCAGCTGTCTCAACATATTTATTTCTACTCCTTCCATCTCTCTTTAGTGGTCAGGATCTACCATCATGTCACTCTCTTTACAGCCCTGGGAACCTATTTTGGGAGTAATGGTAAGGGCCAAGTTGTTTTCATCTCCCATTTTTTGTATTCCTATCTTGTTACGACATTGTCTGAAATCTCCTCTCCCCTCAGTATCTTCCCCTTTTGATTTCAATTCCTTGCTTAAAAATAAAAAAGGAATTAAACAAAAACAAACCATATATTAGCTTCCTCCCTGTATTCCTGCTGTAACACATCTAATCTGCCTTCAGGCATGATAATTTTTTCTGTCTACCAGAGGAAGATTTGTGAATCGTGAATGAGAATGAAAAACATAAAAATACTTATTTCAAGATTTTATCTGGCTACATGCATGTATATTATCCAGGTAAATGATACAAGTGTGAACACACATAGGTACATGCACACATTATATTAAATACATGCTCTGAGGAAGGCAGGGGCTATGATTTACTTTTTCACCTTTGTGTTCTCAACACCTATAAGGACACCTATCAAAGAAAAAAAATTCTTCAATAACAGTATATCCTGGCTGTGTATCATTAGACATTTGGTTTATATTTTCTGTATATTTTCTGTTTTCTCTCAAGATCTGCTTGATCACTCCACCATTATTCTCTGTGTCATGTGGAGCTAACTCTGTGGACTACATGAAAGGGCTCTCTTAACTTCTGGTTTCCAATTTTGTTTAACGTATGGGAAGCATTGGCAAGAGATGTGAGTGTAGGGCTCAGAGAAAACTTCCCCTCTGCCCTCTAAAGGTTCACTGAAAATAAACTGACACTAGGCAGATTAATAGGACAAAAAGGCATACACATGTTTTCAATGTGTATAAGCAAAAGGGAATCACAAGAGCATGATTACAGAATAACCTGCTGAGGTCCAGATGCTTATATACCCTTCTTTACAGAGGGAAAGGAGATAGGGGGAAGTGTAATTTTAAGGGGTAGGGGGCAATTTGTAGGGGGAATGAATGAACTCAGAAGACACAAATTAGCTTGTAAATGATTCTCTTTGGAATTTGAACAAAGTTCATCTAAATGTGATTACATTACTGTCTTCTTTGATGTGATAGATAATATGACATTTCAGCAAGGGGATAGAAGCAATTGTGTTCTCTTTGGCAGTCTGGACTTAAGGTAGATAAGGAAATATTAGCATAGAATTTCACCCTGTGTTGGCGGTGGGGATGGGAAGAGGTCAAGAAGTCCTTGCAGCATGCCAAAGCATCATATTTTGGGAGCATTGTTTTCTGGCCCCAATAGAAGAATTGGAAAATATTTATTTCTACTCCCTCCCTCCCTGCAGGGTCATCACAGTATGGCCGTGTCTCTCTGCCAAAGGCCACAGCTTCTTTCAGTGAGGAATGCATGTATTACAGCTACAGCTTCTCTTTCTGGGTCTCAATGACTGTTCCCCCCCATTGTTTCTCAAGCCAAAGGGTGATTTCAGCTCCAAATAATTTAGATAATCTTGATAGTTCTTATTAATCTTATAATATCTTCACAAATAGTTCGTTTATTAAATATTAATTTTTAGATTAGATTTTGCTATCTGTCTTCTATCAGGACTATGAATGACTAATACAAATTACCTCTTCTATTTTTCTGCAGTTTCTAAAGTCAGACTTCTACTTCAGTCTTCACACTCACTTAAATAAACCATGATATTTTAATAGTCCTAGTTCTTATAAAAGCAAGAGTTCTTGCTGAGATTCTCCATTTGTTAACATTCTATCCTTCCAACCCTAGAAACTTTTGCTTTTTTCCCTATTCGAAGTAACAATGGTGTCAGATGAAAGGGCAAATTCACAGATTACAAATAAAGAGACTGTAAAACATGATTCACACAAACTTCTTTTCAAAGATGAATCATATCACCTTTCAGAATACTAGTGGATAAACAACCGGCAAAAAAATTGCCCTGAAACAACTGTGCTGTGGACTCATGTAAATTCTTGTCATTTCCCTAGATTTTGCAGCTTTCCTTGTTACTTGCTTTTCCCACTAGCAATAATAGGTTTAAATCAGAGAAAAGAATCAACATATCTCACTTTAAAACATTTTTTTCTTCTAACTCAAAACAGTTTTCTTTTCCTGATGAAGAATTTCTCATAAAGGTTTTGAGAGATCTCCTTTTCTCTCAACAGATTTCTTTGTTCCAACCTAATTATCGCTGTTATGTTGTCCTCCTCATTCTTCAAACTGGTGTGTTTTAAGTTGAGTCATCTTATCAAGGCATGTTATTCCACATTCTTCTTTCTCTACTCCTTTTTAATGAGTAAGAGTCCCTTCAGCCCTCCACATCTTCAACCATCATCCTGTTAGTCATGTTGTGTCAAGTTTTTGAGCCTCACTAGAGAGGTGGAGTAATGGGAAACGTGATGCCACACATGATAGACACTGGAAAATTACCCTCCCCAACTCTGAGGGGACGGAGTATGGCTCTAGAGTAAATGACTGGAAGAAGTTTACTTTTTCTTGGAGAGCAAAGATCTCACAAATTAAATTCATATGGAAGTCAGAAGTATCCCCTATTAGCCATTTTTCTCTATTATTCTAACACAATCATAGCTCCAAAATTACCTCTAATATATATCGTATAGAAATAGTGTAACTCCTTACATAGAAAAATTATATCTTGAATAGAATAATAAAAGAAAAAATATATCCAACATAATATTGATAAGCTTTGAAATATCTTTCTGAATTACTTCTTAAGGATAAATGTAGGCTTATAATCTGTTTTACCCCAGTGTTCAGAGATTCGTTAGTTTTTGCATTAGACCACCTGTCATTCAGAGATGACCTAAGTAGATCATTCCAGTTGGGATGGATGTTTTAGATACTTTGAGGGTTAAGGCCTTAAAGAAAATTTGGAAGCCACTTGCATGTGCATTTTAAAGTTAGGTTAATTACTGCAATTAGTTATTCACACCAAGGCAAGAGCAAAATTGTCTAATTCTGCGAGAACTAACAAAACTGACTGAACAGTAAGTGAAATTATATGAACTTATCTCCTGTCAAAACTTACCCTTTACTTAGAATTCAGGTCAATTTAATTTAGTAATGGTGTTTTGTTTTGTTTTGTTTTTCCTTAGTCCAGTACTCTGGTTCATCAGAAGACATGGAAAAGTTTGTCAATTGCCAAATGGTATTTTATAATTAATAGAAATAGCTTTTAAAGTAAATCATCCTTTAAATGTTGATGCAACAAAATAAGAGAACCAATTTTAAAACAAATTAATAAATATATGAATAATTAGCATTTATTATTATGCATCAGGCATTGTTCTAAGTGCATCTTAATCCTCCAAATTGTGCTATAATGTAAGTTATTATTATCTCCATTTTACAAATAAAGGAAATGAGACTGAGAGGGTTAAATAACTTGCCCAAATGGCAGACCTGGCTTTCTTAAAGTGATCTGTCCCTGCCCCAAACCATGCTTCTATCCATATCCTAAATTTTAAATATGAATAAAACTAATTTTGCTGTATAATTTATAAGCGGTCTCTTCAAGGTCCAAAGAAAATCACTGGTATATTTTAAATCAGAATTTCATTATCTCAACAAATACTTTATTCTTCTATTTATTGCATTAGTGGAACTTAAACAATTGATGCATGAGATTACAAGAGTTTTAAAACAGAAATGTATTTTAGCATTAAATCAGCTATTTAACAACAAAGTATGCAAAGTTTTACATCCTAAAAGAGCCATTTAAGCATTACCATGACTCTAATTTGTCAGTGCTATTTTTAAAATACAAGCTCTAATTGCTTTTAATTTTTGAACTCTTAAGAGAGTTCAATGTTTTTATATTTCTAAGATAAATATAAATAAATTACAAGACAAAGTTAGAATAAGAGGTCTTGTCTCTTGACCATTACAAATGAAAGCAGATATATTTAAACACCTGTTCAAGTTCTCTTTCGATTCATTTTGGCCTTATCCGCATTGTCTAAACAATTACATGCAGAGCCTTCAAATGGTTAAGGCCAAAAACTGGTTGTTTTCCTTTATTCAAGGATAGTCGCCTTATTTGATTTTATTCTAGAACAGTTTTCATTTTTCTTTTAATAGAAACAAATAAAGCTAATTTTGTTTTGTTTTTGTTTTTGTTTTTTGAAGCATAATCTCACTCTGTCACCCAGGCTGGAGTGCAATGGCGTGATCTCAGCTCACTGCAATCTCTGCCTCCTGGGTTCAAGGGATTCTCCTCCCTCAGCCTCCCAAGTAGCTGGGATTACAGGTGCCCCCGCACTGTGCCTGGCTAATCTTTCTACCTTTTTTTTTTTTTTTAGTAGAGACAGGGTTTTACCATGTTGGCCAGGCTCATCTTGAAATCCTGACTTCAAGTGATCCACCTGCCTCAGCCTCCCAAATTGCTGGGATTACAGGCATGAGCCACTACACCCAGCTGATTTTGATTAAGCATTTATTCTATAATTATTTATATAGAAAATAGAAGAAATTACTGATGAATATTAACATGTAATAAAAATGTATTTATACGAAAGATACAGTAAACTAAATTTGAAGGAAGAGACAACACTATTTGCAATATTTATTCAGAATATTTGCAAAATCCAGAATCCACAAAGACTCCCTAGAATTTATTATGGAAATGCTAAAGATCTCAAAAAATGTGCAAAATACAAAAACCAACTCATGGTGGAAAAAACATAAATGGTCAATAAGTATAAGAAAAGCACCTTTATCTCATCAAAATCAGCAATACAAAACCAAAATGACAACAAAATATTTTAATATTTACAGTTCAAATATAAAGAGATTGGTCATATCTTGTATAGCTGCTGAGGTTTTGGAGAATATACTTAAACTTTCAAATTGCCAAGACGGAGAGATAAAAAATATCCATTATTGGTGAATTTGAGGAAAAGCATTAGTCTAATGCCTTGTGAAATTGGGAGGAGGGAGGAAGTGACACATTCACTTGGAGGTAATTTCCTGTATAATTTTAATGTGGGAAAATCATTTACTGCATTTCTAATATATACAGCATAGGTAATTCCTTGCATTTGTACACAATGAGACACATGAGAAAATTAATTGCATCATTATTTAATGAGCAAATTGTTGGAACAATGAAAACGCTATGATTAAACAAATATTAGAAAGTGGTTCTATTGAATAAAATCAATATAAATGTACTGATACGAAAAGATCTCCAAGGCGCGTTTTAAAAGATAAAGGCAAAAATTAGAACTTTATGTAAAATATGAAACTACTCATATTATGTATAAGTATATAGAACCTAGAAGATGATATTCCATATTGTTTACAGTGGACCCCTATAGATGAGCTCTTCTTTCTTATTTGAGTTTTTAACTAAACAATTTATTCCTATATTTTTATATAATATTTTGAAATGGACAAGAAAAAGAAAGATAGTTCTTGTTAAGTTTTATGAAGAAATGATCTTTTTTTATTCCTTGTGTTCAGAGGCTACATGTAGAAGGAAACTGAACAAACAACACCTCATAATAAAAAACATTGTATGTTGTTTTAAGAAAGGAAATATATTTAGACTGGTTTTTAAAATTCCTTCAAATATCATTACTATTTCTCGGCAATAGCATATAATTTCTGGTCAGTGGAATTTCTGAAAAACTGGAGATCGAAGATAAAAAAAATGCAGACGTTTGCATTTGACAGCCTTTAGTCTTCCCTTGGCTATACCTGAAGTCAATGATCCAATGTTTCTGCCTTGTTATTTTGTGTTCACCACTCAGCTTAGCAGGATTGCTGCAAGAACACATCAAAGGAGAAGATGTATTTTGGCCTTAAGTTTAACACATCTATCTCCTTCATTAAATATCTCCAAGTTTTTTAAGGCAATGGCTTCCAAACCTGTTTGGACAAACAATCATTTGGGAAATATCTTTAAAATGTAAATATCTGGAAATCGTGATTCAGTAAGCCTCTGGTGGCTTCAGCAATATGTGTGTGTGTGTGTGTGTGTGTGTGTGTGTGTCTTTCTGCTTGTGTCTGTGTGTATAAGATAGAAAGACATATGCTTAAGAGGCCCTCAGGTAATTTTGATGATCTATGAGATTTTAAAATCATTAATATGATTTTTAGAAACATTCAATATAATATGTGAACTACCTCTGCTATTTTTCTCCGAAGTTTAAGAATACCACTGCTTGAGAACATGGTACAAGGCTGTGTTTTTAAAATATATTGAGACCCATATATAAGTAGTTGTTGAGAGTTGTATCATGCCCCCCAAAAAGATATTTTGAACTGCTAAGCACCACTCCCACCCCATATCTGTGAATGTAACATTGTTTGGAAGTAGGGTTTTTGCAGATATAATCAAGTTATACAAGGTCATTAGGGTGGGATCAAAAAGACATAAACACATAGAGGGAAGACAGCCAGGTGAAGACAGAGGCAAAGATTACAGTTGTACTGCTACAAACCAAAGTATGACTGGAACTACCAGAGCCTGGAGAGGCTTCAAAAGTAGCATGGCCTCTCCAACAGTCACAGTTCTTCCAGACTCCAGAACTGTGACAGAATACATTTTTCTTGTTATAAGGTACCTTGTTTGTGGTAATTTGCTATAGCAGTCTAGAAAACTAATACAGTACTTTAAAGAATTATGACTGGCATTTATCAATAGAATAAACTAGAAGTAAAATAGGATAGAAAATAAAATTGTATTAAAAAATCTGTCATAATGAAGGAAAGACTCATTACGTGTACTTTGGAATTTTGGCTAGAGTGTGAATGGAGCAGACAGTCAGTGTTTTGGTTCCGAGCAGGCTTGGTGTAATTTGGTTCCATTACTTACTAGCTGTTTCAATTTAGTAATTTTTTCACCTTTTCCTACCTCTGTTTTCTTAACAAATAATGTCAATAGTAGCAGTAATTACCTCTTAGAGCTTTGTTATGTTAAGTTAATATGTATTAAATGCCTAGAACAATGTTTGGCACACAGTAAGTGTTATATCGGTGCTTGGTGTTATAATCTTGGCAAAAGACCAAGTTTTAAAATCAAAATTAAGCTGAAGCAGAAGCCAAAATTGTGTCTACTATCATAGAAGAAATATTTAGCAAATGATAAATAAATATAAAATTTTATAAAACATGAAAATATTAACATTTTATTATTTAAAACATCAGAACTTATGTTTTTGACATATTTCTTCAAGATAATTTCCCAGTACTTTCAGCTGTGAAACTATTAAATACTAATGGTGGAGTAGAAGATATTGTAGAGTGAGTTCCATTTTCATCAACTGTTTCCTTATGGCACATTCTTTGAATTTTTAATGATGTCTGAATTGAAAATGGTTTATGTTCAGTGTTGTTGTATGTGATATTGAGGTTTTTCCACTTTATACAGTTTTGACCATTTAACAAGTATGAAATATCTCTTTCAGTTTTTTCACATATAGTATAGAATTAACAATGCATATTTCATAATGTTTTTGGACACTTAGAAAAAATGTATAAAGAGTGCCTGGCATTGCAACTGGAAGACAGAAAGTGCATAATACAAAGTAAGTGTTGTGAACACTCTTCATTCTAGTACTCGTTCTTTCCTGGTAATTTCCATTTTCTTCTCTTTTCATTTGCTAAACATCTTACAAACTTATGTACCATTTGTATCGCCATTTATAATAAGTCACTGATATATGTTGACCATGACTCACAGTTAGAAATATACTTTACAATGTAATCAAGTTAAAAATTAGCTTCAATCTTAACATTTGAACAAAAGCATTTATTTGTCTCTGTCTTTAGTATTCAGAAGGCCAAATAATGAATGCATACCTCAGCATAATTTTTAACAGTGTTTTCTTGTGTGTGTGATTATCATTATTCATATACATACACACACTATATATATATATATGAAAATATATGGGTCTATAATTATACATGTGTATAAGTTTATACCCATACAATTATATCAATATATCAATGATGAAAATGTAAGTTTTATGTGAACTGCCTCAACTTTACTCAGTTAACACACTCTCTATCTTAAAACAATGTGTATTTTTATCTGGCCTCTTCTTTTTACATTCCCTTTGAGAACTATATACTCGTTACAGTGTTATGCCAGCTCATCTTTTTTATATATAGTTAATCTAGATAATTCTTTTTTTCTTAAATTATTGCACTTACTCTTTTGTTAACAATTGCATCAATTAGCCATTGCTGCATAACAAACAATCCTAAAGCTTAGCAGCCTAAAATGACAATGTATGATTTCTCATAATTCTGTAGGTTACCTAAGAGATTCTTTTGTTGGTCTCTCCTGGTCTCAGACATGAGCCTCATTCTAGCTTGGCTAGAAGGTTCAAGATGGCCTCATGCATATGTTTGTTAATGTGTACTAGCTGACTGCCAGGAGGATGTCAGTTCTGTATGCATTCTCATCCTCCAGTAAGCTAGACTGGTTTCTTAAGATGATGACATAAGGCAACATTCAAGAGGGTGAAGATGGAAGCTGCAAAACCTCTGGAAGTCAAGGCTCCAGAACTCCCATTGTCACTTCTATCACTTTGTACTGTTGAAAGCAAATAACAAATCTATCCCAGATTCAAAGGGGGAGGGGAAACAGTGCCATCTTTTCCAGTAAGGAACAAACAAAATAACAGCCGACCTAACATGGTCATTACCTTTATATTTCATGGTACCTAGCAAGTTCTAGGGAAATCTTAGAGGACTTGAATTAATAATTCTCCAAATCCCTACTGTGCCTGCTAAGTCCAAATGATTATGCTAGAATCTGCGAAGAAAAATGCAATAAGGATATATCCTTCTTATAATAGCAAATTTAACAAGTAGATGTGCTGAAATACAATGAACTAGTATATAAGAGGTTGAAATAAAGGAAAAGTATTTTAAGCTTTTCAATGTATGCATGCATTTAATGTTAGTAAATGTAACACAACATGACAAAACTTTCTTTTAGGGAACTTTCTAGGTTGAAATAATTAAGTACTTCCATGAAGTGAAATTGTGTTGCATTATAAAACAATAAATATTTATTAGGTTTTAAACAAAGATAAATCTTCAAATGTATCATTTGTACTTTGCCATCATGAAATGAAAAAAAGTTGTAAGTGGATGAACTTAATGTGAAAAAACACCATATAATGTTAAAATATTTATGACAGATTTTAGTTTTATTATACAAACATTTTTGTTAAGATATCCCAAAATGTAAAGACAGACTTTATTTATTATAAAATTAACTCTATTTTATTTTAGGGGAGGAAAGACTTTACCTATACTTCCTTAGAGTTATTTGGCTAAGCCTGAGAATTAAATTGACATAATACCCATCAACAGGAAAAAAGCATACAGATTTACTTAATACAAGTTTTGTGGCATGGGAACCTTTATAAGGAAATGAAGATCGAAGTATGCAGTTAGAATTGGATACTTACATACTGCATTGGAAAAATACGAGTAAATTTTGAAAATGGGACAAGGCAAAGAGGCTTGGGCTAGGGTAATTCATTAAATAGAGAAGTGACTAGGAAGATAAGGGTTAGTCTAACAAGGTTTGTTTGTACAAATTTCCCTTGACCTCAATTTCTGCTGGTACAGGGAAGGCAACTCTCATATGGGAAATTTGTCTCCTGCTTTAAAGAGATCTTGTTTTTTTCTTTATTAGTCTTGCTAGCGTTCTATCAATTTTGTTGATCCTTTCAAAAAACCAGCTCCTGGATTCATTAATTTTTTGAAGGGTTTTTTGTGTCTCTATTTCCTTCAGTTCTGCTCTGATTTTAGTTATTTCTTGCCTTCTGCTAGCTTTTGAATGTGTTTGCTCTTGTTTTCTAGTTCTTTTAAATGTGATGTTAGGGTGTCAATTTTGGATCTTTCCTGCTTTCTCTTGTGGGCATTTAGTGCTATAAATTTCCCTCTACACACTGCTTTGAATGCATCCCAGAGATTCTGGTATGTTGTGTCTTTGTTCTCATTGGTTTCAAAGAACATCTTTATTTCTGCCTTCATTTCATTATGTACCCAGTAGTCATTCAGGAGCAGGTTGTTCAGTTTCCATGTAGTTGAGCGGTTTTGAGTGAGATTCTTAATCCTGAGTTCTAGTTTGATTGCACTGTGGTCTGAGAGATAGTTTGTTATAATCTCTGTTCTTTTACATTTGCTGAGGAGAGCTTTACTTCCAAGTATGTGGTCAATTTTGGAATAGGTGTGGTGTGGTGCTGGAAAAAATGTATATTCTGTTGATTTGGGGTGGAGAGTTCTGTAGATGTCTATTAGGTCCGCTTGGTGCAGAGCTGAGTTCAATTCCTGGGTATCCTTGTTGACTTTCTGTCTCGTTGATCTGTCTAATGTTGACAGTGGGGTGTTAAAGTCTCCCATTATTAATGTGTGGGAGTCTAAGTCTCTTTGTAGGTCACTCAGGACTTGCTTTATGAATCTGGGTGCTCCTGTATTGGGTGCATATATATTTAGGATAGTTAGCTCTTCTTGTTGAATTGATCCCTTTACCATTATTTAATGGCCTTCTTTGTCTCTTTTGATCTTTGTTGGTTTAAAGTCTGTTTTATCAGAGACTAGGATTGCAACCCCTGCCTTTTTTTGTTTTCCATTTGCTTGGTAGATCTTCCTCCGTCCTTTTATTTTGAGCCTATGTGTGTCTCTGCACGTGAGTTGGGTTTCCTGAATACAGCACACTGATGGGTCTTGACTCTTTATCCAATTTGCCAGTCTGTCTTTTAATTGGAGCATTTAGTACATTTACATTTAAAGTTAGTAGTGTTATGTGTGAATTTGATCCTGTCATTATGATGTTAGCTGGTTATTTTGCTCATTAGTTGATGCAGTTTCTTCCTAGTCTCGATGGTCTTTACATTTTGGCATGATTTTGCAGCGGCTGGTACTGGTTGTTCCTTTCCATGTTTAGTGCTTCCTTCAGGAGCTCTTTTAGGGCAGGCCTGGGGGTGACAAAATCTCTCAGCATTTGCTTGTCTGTAAAGTATATTATTTCTCCTTCACTTATGAAGCTTAGTTTGGCTGGATATGAAATTCTGGGTTGAAAATTCTTTTCTTTAAGAATGTTGAATATTGGCCCCCACTCTCTTCTGGCTTGTAGGGTTTCTGCCGAGAGATCCACTGTTAGTCTGATGGGCTTCCCTTTGAGGGTAACCCGACCTTTCTCTCTGGCTGCCCTTAACATTTTTTCCTTCATTTCAACTTTGGTGAATCTGACAATTATGTGTCTTGGAGTTGCTCTTCTCGAGGAGTATCTTTGTGGCGTTCTCTGTATTTCCTGAATCTGAACATTGGCCTGCCTTGCTAGATTGGGGACGTTCTCCTGGATAATACCCTGCAGAGTGTTTTCCAACTTGGTTCCATTCTCCCCATCACTTTCAGGTACACCAATCAGACGTAGATTTGGTCTTTTCACATAGTCCCATATAGAGAAGAATCAAATAGATGCAATAAAAAATGATAAAGGGGATATCACCACTGATCCCACAGAAATACAGACTACCATCAGAGAATACTACAAACACCTCTACGCAAATAAACTAGAAAATCTAGAAGAAATGGATAAATTCCTTGACACATACACTCTCCCAAGACTAAACCAGGAAGAAGTTGAATCTCTGAATAGACCAATAATAGGATCTGAAATTGTGGCAATAATCAATAGCTTACCAACCAAAAAGAGTCCAGGACCAGATGGATTCACAGCCGAATTCTACCAGAGGTACAAGGAGGAACTGGTACCATTCCTTCTGAAACTATTCCAATCAATAGAAAAAGAGGGAATCCTCCCTAACTCATTTTATGAGGCCAGCGTCATTTTGATACCAAAGCCGGGCAGAGACACAACCAAAAAAGAGAATTTTAGACCAATATCCTTGATGAACATTGATGCAAAAATCCTCAATAAAATACTGGCAAAACAAATCCAGCAGCACATCAAGAAGATTATCCACCATGATCAAGTGGGCTTCATCCCTGGGATGCAAGGCTGGTTCAATATGTGCAAATCAATAAATGTAATCCAGCATATAAACAGAGCCAAAGACAAAAACCACATGATTATCTCAATAGATGCAGAAAAGGCCTTTAACAAAATTCAACAACCCTTCATGCTAAGAACTCTCAATAAATTAGGTATTGATGGGACATATTTCAAAATAATAAGAGCTATCTATGACAAACCCACAGCCAATATCATATTGAATGGGCAAAAACTGGAAACATTCCCTTTGAAAACTGGCACAAGACAGGGATGCCCTCTCTCACCACTCCTATTCAACATAGTGTTGGAAGTTCTGGCCAGGGCAATTAGGCAGGAGAAGGAAATAAAGGGTATTCAATTAGGAAAAGAGGAAGTCAAATTGTCCCTGTTTGCAGATGACATGATTGTATATCTAGAAAACCCCATTGTCTCAGCCCAAAATCTCCTTAAGCTGATAAGCAACTTCAGCAAAGTCTCAGGATACAAAATCAATGTGCAAAAATCACAAGCATTCCTATACACCAACAACAGACAAACAGAGAGCCAAATCATGAGTGAACTCCCATTCACAATTGCTTCAAAGAGAATAAAATACCTAGGAATCCAACTTACAAGGGATGTGAAGGACCTCTTCAAGGAGAACTACAAACCACTGCTCAAAGAAATAAAAGAGGATATAAACAAATGGAAGAACATTCCATGCTCATGGGTAGGAAGAATCAATATCATGAAAATGGCCATACTGCCCAAGGTAATTTATAGATTCAATGCCATCCCCATCAAGCTACCAATGCCTTTCTTCACACAATTCGAAAAAACTACTTTAAAGTTCATATGGCGCCAAAAAAGAGCCCGCATCACCAAGTCAATCCTAAGCCAAAAGAACAAAGCTGGAGGCATCAGGCTACCTGACTTCAAACTATACTACAAGGCTACAGTAACCAAAACAGCATGGTACTGGTACCAAAACAGAGATATAGATCAATGGAACAGAACAGAGCCCTCAGAAATAATGCCACATATCTACAACTATCTGATCTTTGACAAACCTGACAAAAACAAGCAATGGGGAAAGGATTCCCTATTTAATAAATGGTGCTGGGAAAACTGGCTAGCCATATGTAGAAAGCTGAAACTGGATTCCTTCCTTACACCTTATACAAAAATCAATTCAAGATGGATTAAAGGCTTAAACATTAGACCTAAAACCATAAAAACCCTAGAAGAAAACCTAGGCATTACCATTCAGGACATAGGCATGGGCAAGGACTTCATGTCTAAAACACCAAAAGCAATGGCAACAAAAGCCAAAATTGACAAATGGGATCTAATTAAACTAAAGAGCTTCTGCACAGCAAAAGAAACTACCATCAGAGTGAGCAGGCAACCTACAAAATGGGAGAAAATTTTCGCAACCTACTCATCTGACAAAGGGCTAATATCCAGAATCTACAATGAACTCAAACAAATTTACAAGAAAAAAAACAAACAACCCCATCAAAAAGTGGGCGAAGGACATGAACAGACACTTCTCAAAAGAAGACATTTATGCAGCCAAAAGGCACATGAAAAAATGCTCACCATCACTGGCCATCAGAGAAATGCAAATCAAAACCACAATGAGATACCATCTCACACCAGTTAGAATGGCAATCATTAAAAAGTCAGGAAACAACAGGTGCTGGAGAGGATGTGGAGAAATAGGAACACTTTTACACTGTTGGTGGGACTGTAAACTAGTTCAACCATTGTGGAAGTCAGTGTGGCGATTCCTCAGGGATCTAGAACTAGAAATACCATTTGACCCAGCCATCCCATTACTGGGTATATACCCAAAGGACTATAAATCATGCTGCTATAAAGACACATGCACATGTATGTTTATTGCGGCATTATTCACAATAGCAAAGACTTGGAACCAACCCAAATGTCCAACAATGATAGACTGGATTAAGAAAATGTGGCCCATATACACCATGGAATACTATGCAGTGATAAAAAGTGATGAGTTCATGTCCTTTGTAGGGACATGGATGAAATTGGAAATCATCATTCTCAGTAAACTATCGCAAGAAAAAAAAACCAAACACCGCATATTCTCACTCATAGTTGGGAATTGAACAATGAGATCACATGGACACAGGAAGGGGAACATCACACTCTGGGGACTGTTGTGGTGTGGGGGGATGGGGGAGGGATAGCATTGGGAGATATACCTAATGCTAGTTGACAAGTTAGTGGGTGCACCACACCAGCATGGCACATGTATACATATGTAACTAACCTGCACAATGTGTACATGTACCCTAAAACTTAAAGTATAAAAAAAAAAAGAAATAAATGAAACTTAAAGTCCAAAAAAATAAATAAATAAATAAAGAGATCTTCTTGAACCTACTGCTTTTTAAGTGCCTATAACTCAAAGTAGTCAATATGCTAGAGTGGCATATTTTGTGGTAGCATGTTCCAAACTCCTTCAATACTTTTCTGAGAGATCCTCTTCAAATTATAATGAATATGTTAATACGAGAGATGTGAAATAGCAAATATTTAGATTTCAATACAAGTAGCCAAAGTCAAGACATCTGGTAAAGTTGATAAATATATTTGCAATTATAAATATTTTTTGATTGATTTGCTAGTTTGTATCAAATATATATGTATTTATCAAGCATTAGTTCAATTATATTTATTGAGTGATGACATCTTCATATTATTAAAGCAATCTAAAAATTCTGACAAAATATAAGATTATTTTTATAATTTGGAAAAATCATTAATTATATAATATTAAAAATTGGTGTATGAAAACTAAAGAATCAGTATCCATAAATTCATTTGTTTAATGACTAGAAAAGACATTTCTGTTTCTGGTTATTAATTGTTCCGCATAATATTTTTAAACTCAGACTCAATTTTAATTAATAACGTTCGGTTTTTTAAGTATAAGGTTCAGCCTTATACTTAGCCTGCTATTTTATTTTAAAATAAAATCCACTACATTTTTTCTATCTTTTTTTTCCTGATAGCTAAACAAACAGTATATGGTAAGAGAAGACCCAGACATTTTGGAAAAACATGATTAATTTCCTGACCTTACCCAAAGGAAAATATTTTACTAAGCAATTTTGTGTAATGAAATACTTTCCAAACTATGCTAAGTAATAGCTAATCTGCAGATGAGGAAAAAATGTGGAGCACCAAAAGTTATTAGAAATCTTACACAGTTGTTTATTTCCAAATAACATCTTTAACTCCTATTTTCATACTTTAGAGATGATTTTACACATCATGCTAGCACGGTCTCAACGAGAGACCAATGAAATATATTGTTATTTGGGGGTTCAATTCAATCAAGCCATTGGGAATTCCATGAATACGCAAAACCAGATGAAATATAATTCTTGGCAGCTAGTAAGTATTATTCACTTTAAATATGGCCTATGGGAAGGAAATATTGAACTCAGAGTTACTTCAAGAGTTTTATTGTGAAGTAGAACTTACAGAAGGAGAGGAAGAACACAGAATCGGTGAAGGGGAGCAGTGCCACTGTAATGCAGACCTGACGTCTCTGCCAGCCCAAGGGGGTTCCACGAAGTGACGACTTCACATCAGAGGAATTCCCTGCTGGGCAGAAATTCCAAGGCCCTTGAACTACCAACTTGCAAATTACTGATTTGGGGTTATTTCATGAGCAGTGGACCATGGATCAAAAATTGAGGTACACTGAGAAAAAACTATCAACTGGGCTAGATGTGGCGGTTCATACCTGTAATTCTATCACTTCGGGAGGTCAAGGCAAGAGAATCTTGGCTAAATCATCTTGGTTAAATTTATTCCTAAGTATGTTATTTTTTGGAGATGGATGGTATTCTAAATAATATTGTTTTCTTTTTTTTTAATAATTTGTTGTTAGTGTATAGGAACACTACTGCTTTTTGTATGTTGATTTTGTATCCTCCAACTTTACAGATTTTTTTTCTTATTGGTCTAGTCTTTTAATATTTTATCTTATTTTTTCATGGATGACAAGACATTTTTAATATCTCAGTGGACCTAGAAAAAAATGTTTAAAAAATGACTTTGGCTAGAAATGGATAGCTTTGTTTTTTTCATTTATGTTAATAATAAAAAAATCACAAATAATTATAATATGCAGAAGACTTATAAAGTGTCAAAAGGAAAGCTTCTGTAAGTGATCAGACCTTGCAGAGAACACTTGAAATAGGGAACTCTTCACAGAAACAAAATGGAATTATGTCAGAAAAGATAAAATATATCCTAAGTGATGATCCACTCTCAAAATCTGCAGAGTAACCCAAGTACTGGTTAAGTGGTTGGTAAGGTAGTGTAAGATGGGAATATTAGTCAATATATGAATTACAGCATTAAAAGATAATCTTAGGTGCATTCAAACTTTAATGAGTTTATTTGAGACAGTGATTCATGAATGGGTCAGTGCCAAACTGCAAGTGGTTCAGAGATCCATTGAGGGGGCGTGGGAGAAAAACTTTTATAAAATTTCTATGAAGCAAGACAAATAAAATATTTGATTGTCTAAACTGGAAAGTCACTACTGAATTAGAAGTTAAATTGGTGGTTTCTGATTTGTTAAGCTTATGTTTTCTTTTACTACTTACATTGAGTAAATGCTTATGAGGCCTCCTAATTAATTATTTTAACAAGATATAATAACAACTTTTGGCTCCGACTTTCAAAACAAGGAAATGTATTGACTTGTAAATAAACCCCAGGAAGGGCATAAGGATTGCTAAACTCTAGGAATAATTAGAATTTCAAGAGGACTTTCCAACTTTTAAACTCTGTCCTCTGCTGCTAGGCCATTCTTTCTCTTCTTCAAAACATCTACAAATGGGTGTGAGATGGAGAACAAGGCCACCGATTACAGCCAGGCTCAGGTCTCACAAAGTAAATCAACAGAAAGACACTGTCTTTTCTTAAGGCCAGGTTTAAAAATCTGAGAGAAAGACTCTGATTCTTGATCATGAAGGTTATTAGTCTGTAAGCTACATTTCTGGAAATATATTTTTCTTGTTTTAGTATCAGCTTAACTTCTGCCTTCATAAAATACGTTTGGAGATGTTTTTCTCTTCTGGAAGACGTTGTGTAGAATAGGCATTTTTTCTTCATTAAATGTTTGAGAGCATTAGCTATTAAATCATTTGTGATAATTTTTCTTAATGGATGGTTTTCACCTACTAATGTCAGTACTTTTATAGATATAGAGCTATACAAATTATTTCTTTCTTTTTGAGTGAATTTTTATAGTTTATGCCTTTCAAAAATTGTTTTTTAAACTAATGTGTTTAATTTATAAGCTTAACATTTTGTAGTATTCCTTATTACTCATATCTGTAGCGAATGTACTATTATCCCCAGTTCACTCCTGCTATTGGTAATTCGTATCTTTGTTTGATACAAATTTTATTAGAATGACTAGAACGTTATCCATTTTGTTAAACTTTTGAAAAACCAAGCTTTTGAATTCGTTGATTTTCCTAAGAAGAGGAAAACCTTGAATTATTTCTTCTCTTGTAATATAAGAATTTAATGATATTAATTTCCCTGCAAGCACTTCCTTAGCAAAGTCCCAAAAATTTTGATACATTGTAGATTAAATATTCTTTTTGTTCAAAATAGTTTCACATTTTTCTTGAGACTTCCTACGTGGCCTATGAGTTATTTTGAAATATGTTTCTTCATCTTCAAATATTTGATGATTTTTCAGATATCTATCTATCATTAGTTTTTAAATGTTATTTAAATCAGATGATGTATTTGTATGATTTGCATTATTTTAAATCAATTATAGTTTGTTTTATGACATAGCATATGATCTATCTTGGTGGCTTAAAAAAATGCATTCTGATATGGGGTCGAACAATTTATAAATTTCAGGTCAAATTTTTCCATAGTATTATTTAAACATTTTATATCCTTCTTTATATTTTATGGGCTTGTTCTAACAATTGCTGAGATAGGAGTGTTGATGTCTCCATGTATAATTATGTACTTGTTTATTTCTATTGTTATTTATATTCATTTTTATTATATGTATTTTTAAATTAGTTTGTTATATTAACACATATTTATGATTATATTGGCTTCTTGGAGGGTTGATCTTCTATCATTATGCAATGACACTGTTTATATCTGATAATTTTCTTTGTTCTAAAGTTTACTTTGTCTGATACCAATATAGCCTTTCCATGTTTACTATAATTAACATTCTCTTGCTATATAATTCTCCATCTCTTTACCATTAACTTATCTAAGACTCCAAATTTAAAATGGGTTTCTTATATACACATATAGTTTAGTTTCATTTTAAATCTACTTTTTAGTTAGTGTGTTTGGGAGAGTAACATTGAATAAAATTATTGGTAAGACTGGCTTTAGTTTGATCATTTTATGATTTGTTTTCTGCTTCTTCCTTGTAACAGTTGTTCCTTTTTCTTCTTTTTCTCTTCTTTTAAATTATTTGAATATTTTTATCAATCCATTTAAATTTAACTATTACGTTTTTACCTATGTCTCTTTGTGTTATGTCTGTTGTAGTGACTCTTTAGACTACAAGATGCTTACCTAACCTATCACTGTCTATACACATTTAACATTTGACCATTTTGGGTAAAATGTTTAGTTTTTTTAATCATGCAGGTCCTTTTACTCCTCTGCTTTGGCAGATGTAGTCAATTACTGTATCCACATATATTAATATGGGAACAAATAGTATTACAAATTTTGTCTAAAAAAATCATTATTTATTTATTTATTTGAGATGGAGTCTTGCTCTGTTGCCCAGGCTGGAGTGCAGTGGTGCTATGTTGGCTCACTGCACCCTCCACCTCCTGGGCTCAAGCAATTCTTTGACCTCAGTCCCCCAAGTAGCTGGGATTACAGACATGTGCCACCATGTCTGTCTAATTTTTTTTTTTCCATTTTTATTAGAGACTGGGGATGGTTCCGCATCATATTGGCCAGGCTGGTCTTCAACTCCCGACCTCAGGTGATCTGCTTGTCTCAGCCTCCCAAAGTGCTAGGATTACAGGTGTGAGCCACTGTGCCCAGCTTATGTTTAAAATGTAAGGGAAAAAATAATTTGTCATAGTTTCCTGGATAGTAACATTCTGTTGTTCTTTCTTCACTTGCAAAGTTCCACATGTCTTTTGGTATAAAGGTGCTGAGACCAGCTCCGTTGGGGAGACCCTAACCCAGCGGCGCTAGAGGAATTAAAGAAATACACACAAAAATATAGAAGTGTGAAGTGAGAAATCAGGGGTTTCAGAGCTGACAGCCCCGAACAGAGATTTACCCACATATTTATTAACAGCAAACCAGTCATTAGCAGTTTCTATAGGTGTCAAATTAACTAAAATATCCCTTATGGGAAACGAAGGGATGGGCCGAATTAATTGCAGCAGGAACATGCCCTTAAGGCATAAATCGCTCATGCTACTGTTTGTGGCTTAAGAATGCCTTTAAGCGGTTTTCTGCCCTGGGCGCCCAGGTGTTCCTTGCCCTCATTCCCGTAAACCCACAACCTTTCAGCTTGGGCATTAAGGCCATTATGGACATGTTACAGTGCTGTAGAGATTTTGCTTATGGCCAGTTTGGGGGCCAGTTTATGGCCGGATTTTGGGGGGGCTTGCTCCCAACATAAAGGAAATATTCCTTCATGTTTTTCTGCCTGGAGAACTCCTCTAATCTTTCTTGAAACATAACTATACCATCTTTATTATTTTTCTGTATTTATAATGTCTTTGTCTTGCTGTTATTCATCAAAAATATTTCTGGTGCATGTGACATTCTGGATTGACATTTATTTTGTTCAGTACTTTAAAAATGTTGTTTTGCTATGGGTAAACAATTTTTGGTAAGAAATATTCACTCATTTGAATTGTTGTTCTAATATATGTAATGTGTCCCTTTTCTTCTTTTTTTGTTACTTGTAAGATTTTATTACTTTGACTTGTAGCATGCATATAATATATCTGGAAGTGGTTTTCTTTGAGTACTGTTTGGTGTTCATTAATCTTGGATCTGTAAATTTATGTCTTTTACCTAAGTTGGGAAGTTGTTCACCATTATTTTTTAAACTTTTTTTCTATACCAATCTCTGTCTTCTCTCTTTCTGAAACTCCAATGACAAAAGCATTACATATTTTGATATGATCTCAGAGGATGTTTAGACTCTGTTCATTTTTATTTATTTTTTCTCCTTGTTCTTCAGCTTGGGTTAGATGTATTGACATACCATGAAGTTCACTGATTCTTTTATGTTATTGACGTTCTCCTATTAAGCCCATTCTGTGTACATTTTTATTTAAGATACTGTGTTTTCCAGTTATAAAGCTTTCATTTGTATCTCTATTTCTATTTATCTGAAGAAATGTATATTTTCCTTCATTTCAAAAACTTTTACTCTACAGAACATGGTTAAAGCTACTTTAAAGTTTATTTCTGATGATTCCAATACCTGGTTCATCTTGGAGTTGGCAAGTGTTCAATTGGAGAGATGCTCAGAATAGGCATTTTTAGTAAGCACCTTAGTAATTCTGACACAAGTGATTTATAATATCTGAAGAAAATAGATAACACAGAATATAGTGGGAGACTCAACTTACTGCTTAATTGACATACTTCATGATTAAGAAAAAAGAGATTAATAAGGAAATCTTCTTCCTCCAAAGAGAAGAGAATTATCCCATCTTATGCCCTTCATGACTTGGGAAATAATTACCATGATCATTTTCATACATTTATGTTTGAAATTCTAATGCCTTACTATAGAACACAAGTGTATGCACACATGCACACACACACACGGAATAGTAATTCAAGAGATGTCAACCTGTTTTGTTTTATAAAATATCTCTGATACTAAGATAGTCTAACATAAAATAATGCCAATAAAAATGAAGAAAATGTTCTGCATAACTAGAAGCATAAAGCCCATTTAAGAGGATATATTTAGATTTGCGTGCATAAAGGACTAATTTTAATCCAATAGGTACCTTCTGTGGAGAACTATAAATACAATTAGTAATGAAGAAATAAATGATAACAGATCCACCAGAGTTCTAAAATTATATATGAGTTTGTTTGTTTTTTGGAAACAAAAATATCACTTTGAGCTGCTCACCACAGTAATTATAAAATTCTCATTAAAAACCTTAAGTAATGTAGAAAATGTGCAGATAAATTACATTATAATTTCATCCTATAAAATTCTAACATATAAAAACATAAAAATTCTATTCATTTCTGTGAAAATATGCAAGTTAATTCCTATTATTCATTTACCATCAGTGTGACTGAGAATTCATGATATATCTCTTCCTGAACAGCTTTTCTCACCAGACATTATCTGTGTTTCTAAAGCTCCTAATCCAGGATGAATTATTCTACCACAAAGTCTGCTAATTCCGCAAGCAAAAATAGTATAGACTACCAGTATTTTGTCATAACTAAAATAGTCACTCAGTTTAATCAGGTAGCAAATATATATTTCATATCTACTTTATGAGAGCATTGTGTTAAACTCCAAGAAGCTAGTGGTGAAGACAAGTAATTAAATTTTTAACACCTTAGTTTCTTCCATATTCATTCAGCATATACCACTTACACACAAGATATTGTGCTATGCATATGTGTACGTGCATATGTACATAGATTTCAATTTATATATTTTTATTTGAAAAAATTGATAAAGCTTAATCTTTTGGATAAGTTATGCAGTATTTTAATTTAATTTCTACAATAATTCTCTGTGAATTTACGGCTATTATTTTATTTAACTTCTCATAAATATATAAATAGAATTAATATCTATGCCTTCATATGTAAAACATAAATTATAACTATTTTATTGTGATTTGTTGATTATTCAGATATTTGAATATTTTTTTCTTTTAAACCATATGGTTGCTAAGACATGGATTATTATTTTTGAACAAAAATGTCCATTAAATATTCTGTCATTTTATGTGAGACTGAAAAACACCTGCTATGATTTAGCCAATCCATAAAAGCGGATTATAAATATGTGTTTTTAGATATGATTAAAACATTACAAAGTAAAGGAAGTTAAATGCAGGCAGAAACCATGCAGGTGAGAATAAAAGAAGATGCAAAAAGAGTGGCAAGAGGGCGGGCTCAAAGGAGTGAAGTTTATGACAATTGCCTGCCTAACTACCCTCATGGAAAGTGAGAGGCTCACCTTGACATGCAAGCACATGTCTCCTTTAACAACAGATCATGGAACTGAGGTTACAATGTCTTTTTGCAGAAGTCATGCTAAACTGGTTTCAGAGATGCAGAGGGGACAAAGCTACACACAAAAATTATGCAGACTCACAATTTTTACAGGAAGCAATTTTCTCTGTGACCACAAAGAAGAAGGAATTTCAAGATGAAAAACCTAGAAGACTAATGCTCTTACCCCGTCTCACAACTCCCTACAAATAGGCCAAAATTCCAACTCCTTAATTCAGTACAAATAGAAATAAAGTGGCCCAGAAGGTATTTTTTTAATGCAATTTAAAACTGTAGAAAAAATGCAGTAAACTTACTCAAAAGAGACATTTTTCAATAAAGTTTCCATTGGAATAAAGTTATGATCAGCATTTTGCCATGAAGAAGGAAAACAAAATTATAATAAAGTGTCGACCTCAATGAAAGGAAATTGCAAAGCAAAAAATCAAGTATGCAAGGGAAAAACAGCAAAACAAGAGGATTTGAAAAAATGAGTGGAGGCTTTACCTACTGGCTAAAACATTATGAAGCATTCCTTACAGCTTTTCTTGAAGGACACCTTCCTAGAGGCCTTATGAAGGCATCCGATCCCTGAACTACTTGTCCTGAAATTAGAGACAGAAATTGATCTGTAGGTTTCTGTATCCCATTAGCCAAAGTTTGCCCTGTAGGGCTTCAACTCCTTTAAGCATCTGAATTGCATCATGAGGCAACCCTAACAGCTGCTATGGAAGCCAGTGCCCAAAATAACAGTGATGGCATCCCTGGCCTGTAGAGATTAGTGAACTCCCTATTTGCCCACACCACCTGCAGGCTTGTGGGCCTGCCTGGTAGCAGGGGTAACAAGCACTCCCTGCTGTTCTCATGCCTCAGCAGCATCTGTGAAACCCAAAAACTCAAGGTGAGAGGCAAATGGAACAGGCACAAGCTACATATCTTTAGGGATTTTTCTGGGTATTTTCCTCTCATATGACTGAGAGGGCCTAAGAACAACCACCGTAGCAATACTCTTGGGTTTTTCAGCTGAACAACAACCTAACTTTATATATGTTAAACGTTCTTGCTAGGGCTATTATAGCCCGAAAGCAAACAAGTTCACAAATCCAGAAAGGTACATAAACTGAGTCCAGGGCAGTGTAACAGAACAGGATGCAGGTATAGTATGGAATGGAAATGTAAACACAATACAACTAGAAACAAATTTGAATGCAAGGGAGAAAGAATGTGGCAAGCAGGATATGTTTACTGATATCCTCACTTATGATAAAAGGCAAGGAATGTCTCTTACAGCTGTCCAACTGAGTAATGATATAAGCATATTTCACAGCATAAATTTAAATGCTAAGAAAGATCATATCATACTCTAAATTTGAATCCTAGGGGAGAGAGATGAGGAGAGGAAATAATTATTTACAGTATGTCAATAAAAATGAATGAAACTTACTTGCTTAAAATGAATGTAAAGATATAACCAAGATCAAAAGAATATTAAGTAGCAGGAACAGGAAAAAAAATTCAGGTTTTCTGATTCTTGTCAAGTGTTGAAATATTGTCCAGCATAGTGCTATTCCAAAATGCATGAAAAGCAGATGGTAGTGCTTGGAAAACTTTAAGCTTAAATAAGAGGATGCAAAAACATGTGCACACACAAACGTGTGTGTGTGTGAACTCACATACATATGGGCAAACACACATACACCATAAAATGAGTCAATACTCATTACAAGATATCATGCCCATATTTTTTGTTATTTTTAATATGCTCTAAATTCAGAGAAAGTAAAAAGCCTGTCTCCCATTTTTGCTTTGTTTTGTTTTCATTTTGGCTTTTGACATTTTAAAATAAACTTTTCTTCCAATGCTCACTAGAGTTATGGCAAATGATTGCCTTACACATGTAAAAAATTTAAGGAGAGACTCTTCTGTCACAGATGGGGTCATGTATTGGGTAAATAGCATCCTATATAGACCAGAGTATATTGCACTACTTAAGACACCAGAATTTACAAAATTGCTGTTCATTGCTGTCTAATGTCCTTCTTATTTAGACAAGTGAACTGGATCAAAATATAGTTTTTTTCTGAATTGCAAAATGCATTTTGAAGCACAACTCTGGAATGTGAAATAAATCTGCTAAAAACATGCAATTTGATTTTTCACTCTTATTTCTAAGCTTTTGACAATTTATTATTTTTACTTTGTGTTATAGTCAAAATTAGAAATCTTATAGTCACTTTTTCTTTCTTTTTTTTTTTTACTGTAAAGCATGTCTGGTTACTTTATTCTTTAGCTTGAAATATTTTTTGAATGCTTTCAGGCTGAAATACTGAACAAGGAAGGAGTGAACACAACAAAAGTAATAATCTACAAATATACTGAAGAGTTAAACGCCTGAAAAATCAAGTGACAAGTCTCCTTTATTTTCCACTATTTACTCAGACCCAGCAAAGACGAGCCTGACAGATATTCTGCATCTGAGAAGTGTCAGCAGGTTGTCAAGCCAAATCCTGGCTTGAAGTTTTGTGGCTATTTGCAATACAGGCTTGTTCCAAGGGTCACAGTGGCTGAGCTTAGCTTTTCATTTGACACCAGGCTATATCAATAAATTTTAGAAGAGTGCACTGCACCCAGAAACCTTTGTAAGCCATGGTGCAACAGAAACTACTTGCCTAAATCGGAAGAATGGCGGCATCAACAGAAACCATTTTAAATGTGGCATAGCTAGACCTCAAGGGTGAGAAACAGCTAGTCTATTAGGGCTGGGATTTTTTCCCCTAAAAAAGCAGCATTCCAGTGCATATTTATCTTCTGGCCATAGATTGATTGTCAGAACCAGAAAAACAAGGTTTGATGGGCTGATGGGTCCACGGAAAAAATGAACAAAGTGTGATGAAGCAGTGAGTAACCTACTGGTCTGTAGTTCAGATAATGCAGTTTCAGTGACAGTCTGAAATGAGTGTGTTTTTCCAAGGGTCTGGGCAGTGAATCCAAAACCGGCTGTTCCTGGCACTTGGCTGATATCTGGAATAATTTAGGGCAGGGAAGGGGCAGAGAGTGTCTCAAAAAGACACTGCCTAAAAATGTTAAGAGAAAAGTAGCTTCTATCTGTTGTCATAGAGCAGCCAGCTTCCAAAGATCACAGATGTCAACGGGCTTTGCAGTAGAGTTTGTTGATGCTGAATGTCTTGTTAGGGGATGTTGTACAGAGACATACAGCTTTCAAATGGCTATGCTTATGTAATCTCTCTGACATGCAGCATGATTTGTTCATTTGCTTTTTAACTCTGCCAGCAGAAGACTAGCAAGGCAGAAATCATTCATTAATGCCTCCAGAACCAGAAGTTCAAGCCTTGCATTGATTCTTTGTGGCAATTTAGCTTACTCTTATTTCTATAATTTTCATGGGTTAGTTGATTGTGCAAGCTGGAGCATGTTTATGAATGAAAGATAAACACTTGCAGACACAGAATACAGTTATTCTGGTTGAAGAGCATGGTGCAGGCCAGATTGCCTTTATAGGGTAATCATTTTCTCTCTTTGAGATTCAGGGTTATTTACAACTCCAGTTGGTGAATACTGTTGCAACCTCTGGTTACATGTATTGCTTTAGCCCTGTACCATGTGTGTGCTGACACTTGATGATGTAATTGTTTCTGTGCTGGCTGTATACCTTACACACATGTACTCAGTAGCAAATGTAAATAATGTTTGCAGTTTGAAGAAAAGGAGTAGAAACCAACATTAGAGTTCCATGAAATTAACATGAATTAGAGTTGACCCTACAAAGCTGTAATGGGCTTACATGAGATGATTGAAGTACTATCTCATCATATAATGTCTGCCACAAGAATATAGAGCAGAAGTCTATATTTGAACTTCTGCTCTATGCTCTTGTGGCAGATATTATATGACAAGACGGTATTTCAATAGATCACTCTTTTAACACTCTCTTCGCCACTTTCCAAATGGCTTTAGGCAACCCTAACTTCTTTAACATCAGAGTATTCATGTATAAAAAGGCTACATGGAAATCACACCTAATTCAAGGAGATTTTTTTGAAGATAAAATAAGACAATGTTTACCATAGTGCCTAATATCACAAGTGCCTCGTGATAAGTGAAATGTTAGTTATAATGATTATAACTATCATATTGTCATTTTGAATAAGGCTTTTTCTTGGGAAATTACTTTCAAATGTGTAAGTCTGTTATGAAGCTGGCTATCTAATGACATTTGTCACAATGGGCAAGTTTATTACATAAGGAATGTAGAGTGGGATTGGGATAGAAAAATAGATTTAATCACAAGGCAGGTGAATAGAGTGTGCTCTTAGCACAGTAGAAACAAGAGGGCCTCCTTTACACTCACAGTATAGAAGGATTTATGAAGAAAGCATTGAAAAATGAAAGTGATGAATGAGGAGGACAAAACAAATTCATCCTCTATGTTGTTCACGGGTTGTTCGCAGTTTAGTCCTGCCACCATGGGTTGAAGGCACAAAATAAATAAATCCAATGCAGATAAGACAAACACCTCATGGTCATAACCTAGAGCCTCTTGTCCTGTCATCTCTTCATTAACACATTCTGTGATAACAGAGTTTCTCAAAAATAAATCCCTCAGTTGTTATTGCTTTTACAGAAATGCAAGGACATTTGGTATATCACTTCCAAATCCTCTGACTGAATCTGGGATTTCTCTCTCTCAGCCCATAACCCTATGAGCCACAGTTTCCCTTTTGTTTAAAGTAAAAAAATAATTTATATCCCCTACTGCTATTGAGAGACCCAGATGAGAGCAGATCGATGACGACACTTTGTGGACTGTAAAACACTGCTGGAGTTTCAGTTTTAGGGAATCTGATGGTCATCAACCTACTGACCTCTCCTACAGTACAAAGTTTTAGTGCTGTGGTAAAATCACCATGGACCTTAGCAACTGAGAGATCTGAGTTCAGATTTGGACTCTAACACTTATTAGTTTATAGGGTCTTGAATAAATTACTTAAGATCTCTTTAAATTATGATTGTGTAACATTTAACGTGATGGTAGTTACTGACAGACAGAGAGAGAGAGAGATTATTTAGAGCTTAATTCATTCCATTAGTGGTTTTTCTCCTAACCCAAAAAAAATAATAACTGTAGGAGAGAAACTGAGTGTGTGTGTGTGTGTGTGTGTGTGTGTGTGTGTGTGTGTTCCTGCATGCATGAGTAATACATATAGTATATGTTTTGGTGGCAGGGATGACAGGAAGCTAAATAATTACTCAGTGATCAAAAGAGTTGTTATGGGTGTTTCTGAGCTTTTCTCAGCAGGTAGCATACACTTACAAAACTGTTTATTTAATTTAAAGGATTTCATTAAAAACAGAGAGAACGGAAAGAGAAAATGTAGTTTTGGTTATTTTGAAATGGCAGTCTAACAATTGCCACAACAAAAGTTATTCTCTGATTAAAAAGCTAAGAGGTTTCTCTAGCAAGGATAAAGAGAAGCTCTCTCTTTACTGAAAACAGACTAGAGGGCTGCTCCCCAATGAGGAGGGTGAGGAAAGCCTTCCAGTGATGATAACAACGCCTGGAAAGAACAAACTGTAGGGCAGGCTGGTCAGGGTGACTGTGGCCAAGTGCTCTCAGGATACTCCTCCTCCCCCACCGCCCCACATTCTATAAGTCTGAAATAAGTTTTGATGTTATAGCTATGTACCTAAGGATTTCCAGTCACTTCGAAGTTCCCAGAACATCTTTGGCCTCTCTTGAAATGATCAATATAACAGAAAAAAGTATTGTTCAATGCAAAACATAACACTAGAGAGATAATGAAGGCCATGAATCTTGCAATATGTAATATCTTCTCCAAATATGTTGCAGAAAAAGGAGTAGTACAACTTCAAAAGCAGCAGTAAAAATGTTTTATGTCATTCGTAAGAGGAAACCAAATGTTAATATAATTCAGCTCTCAGCAAATGCATACATGTTTTAGAGCTAACAATATGAGTTAGCATGATATTTAAGAATGTGAACAATACATATTTTGGATAGAAAAGACACAATGAGAAAAAAAAATCAACAAGCACTGAGGAAGGACTGACGTCCTCTCTTTAATTATAAAGGAATAACTAGTTATAAAATAAATTAACTTAGGATAAAATGCTAGAGTTTGAGGCAAAGGCGCTTAGGTTAACTAAAGAAGGAACCCAATAGGAAACAAGGAGTCCAACCCTCATTAGCCATGTACTGAATTGACTTACAGTTGACACTTAAACAATGCAGAGGTTAGGGGCACAGAGCCTCCTCCCACATCCTTGAAGTCAAAAAACTGCATGTAACTTTTTACTCCCCCAAAAATTGGTATTTGGGGGAGTAAAACTTAACTAGTTACAGACTACTGTTATCAGAAAGCTTTACCAATAACATAACCAGGTAATAAACACATATTTGTGTTATATGTATTATATGCTGTATTCTTAAAGTCAGCTAAAGCAAATAAAATGTTATGAAGAAAATCATAAGGAAGAGAAAATACATTTACACTGCTGTACTGTATTTATCAATACAGTAAGTTTATATAATTTGTTTTCAAGATGAATCATCAGTTTGAAATAGCAGGCAACGGCATCTGCAGACTTCAATCTATGGTATCTATCAAGCCATTCAACTTTTGTTATATTGCCATGACTTTTCTCTGCTTTCTGGGAGCATTTCCAGCACCACTAGTGGCACTTTGTATGAGTTCCATTGGTGTTTTTCAAGAGTTTTGGGATTGCACTAAACACAATGAAAAATATGGGTTTTGTGCAAGAGATTACTTTTTACTACATTTGTTGGCGATGACTGCTCATGTGATGCTTATTGTCACATGGTGTTTTAAGTGGATACTCAAAACACTTGAACTCACTGCAATAGCAACAGGAGGTGACTACAAAATTATTATAGTAGTACAGTATATATGACAGTTAATTTCATGCAGTTATAATTTAATAGTGCATTTTTACATTTGTTCTTATCGCTTTTGACTTCAAATGATGCCATGTAGAGTCTAAGTATATGTAAATTTTGACAAATTTTAACTTTCTATAGTAATATGTGTACATTTTACAGAAGTAAATGATAAACTAGTATCTACATATTTGTATATATTCATGACATACCTTTACAATTTTTTAATTTCTAGGTTACATAGTTCAGCTGTTTTTTTCAAGTTATTGCAAATCTCCGAAAAAATTTCCAATGTATTTACTGAAAGAAATTCTCATATAAATGGACCTGCACAATTCAAACCCATGTTGTTCAAAGGTCAACTGTATATTGTATGTGAGTTTTATCATTACATTTACCAGATGAATTTCTAAGCTATATCATCCAAGCTGCTTTTTAGTATTATTCATGGGAGATATCTCCCTAGGCCACAACACAAACAGCACATCCAACAAATTCAACAAGCTATTTTTTAAAAAACATGAAAAGCACAAGTAATTATCAAGTATTGCCCTTCCTAATAAACAGTTAAATATAGTTTGTTAGAAAATAATGAAGTCTCTTTTTCATTGTTTTACAAATATATTAATAGTCTGCAGTAGCTGCTTCTATCTTTAAGTCCCCTCTGATGTAAAGAACAGGAAGGCATTACCATTATACTGTGAAATTGAGCAGAAAGGTGGAAATAAAAGGAGGGTTAAGGGGGTGATGGGACCAGACCCCAGGCTAATTTGGTAATATTTCTTAAAAATAGAAGTCAACATTGTAGGCAGATATTTATCACTGTAAACAAGTACCTCTAGTTAAAAGTAAAAATACATTGTTGTATCTCATGATTTCCCTGAACTCAGTAGCACTGGGCAAAATAATAGCACTAGTGAGACAACTGGAACAGAAAAAGTGTCTCTGATTGTATTTTCAATTTATTACTCTCCAAACACTTCATTATAACTTGGCCAGCTTTTAAGTTCAAAGGGAGAACATCCTGAACAAAATGAATATACGATGAGAGAACCACCATATGCCTAGAAAATTCATCTAAGCTGTAATTTTAAGTGAAATTAATAAATCAGTGATTTTGACATTTGGTTGTCCAGTGGGAAGAGAAAATTAACACAACAAACAGATAAAGAGAAAACAACTTCATATGATAAAAACATATGGAAGGAAATTGAAATGGGAAAGCTTTGGAATTACAACTTTGATTTAATATTTTCTTAAACTTGTCCTGTGCTTTGTTTAAATTCAACTATCATTTTAAAAATGCTTAAGAAACCCAAAGTTCAATAATTAATAATTGAGTAAAAATCCAAAAGTATTACAGTTGTGATACCCCAATGCATATTAAGAAGAAAAAGAAGTGATTCAAATGTTTATCTTCATATATTTATTTGAGTTATTTGACTAACAGATTATATATCCATTAGTTTAAGTAGGAAGGAAAATTATATAATTAATTAAATCAAATTTGTGGTTGTATTCTGACATAAAATCATTTGATAATTTCCGTAAATTTCTATCAATAGAAAACATTTTTGTCAGAAGAGCATATTAATATTACTATTAATTTTAAAAACAAATTTCAATATCCCATTGGTATATTTTTATATCTCATTGGTAACTGTGGATTTATTTAAAACAGAACACCTCACTTAAAGTAAATAATTTGTCTTGATAAAGCAACTTGAGTCAGGTTGCTAATTAGTAGTATCTTTGTTTTGTACTGAAAACAATTAGAAGTAGAGAAACTTGGATATTGAGTTCTGCCATCAACTATCTGAGTGATAACAGCAAGTTGCTAGAGTTTGTAATTTCTTCATAAAATAAGAATTATCTAGGCAGATCAGATTCAAAGGAATCTGAATATGGAATTTCTTTCTCTTAAAAAGGAACAGACTTCTATCATGTCCAAATAAGATATTGATTTCAATTGATGACATTAGTTTCATATTACTGCTATAGGAACACTACTTAATATTAATTTTAATCAAATAAGAGCACTGAAGGGCATGTAATACTATACATTAGGAGTTTGTTAAGCAATATTTGCATAATTTATGATTTGTCAGACTACTTACTTTTTGATAAAATGCATTTGAAATGTAGTCCTTCCATGGATATTTGTTCTTTATGTCCCGTGTGCTAGGCATAATGCTAAGCTCCAGAGATACGTGGAATGACCAGACATTAAAAATTTCAAAATTTGCTTAAATTCTTAAATAAGTTGTTGTTATTAAGAAAGAAAATAGATTACGATGAAATACAAGTTTCCTTTCTTGTGTCATATATAGTAAATTCTCTCAGTGTGCAGCTTTGTTGTTTGCCTATTGGAAAGGAATGAACAATTGGGAAATAAATCATCTTTTTGGCATTGCCCTTTTATCTTTATCCTGTTTCAAGTACCTCATTCCAGGCAACACTTACAAAACAACAAATTCCACTTGGCATTTTGCTATAAAATATCAGATTTGCTTTCAGTTCTCGGTATAGAATATGAGTTTATAATCTGAGGAGATATAATTATTTATCACTATGTTTGCAGTAACTTTAGATTGCCATATCAAAAAGAGCATATGACATTCAACTGATCTCAATAGTTATTGTTTAGACTTCTAGCATCGCTATGGCTAATGGTCTCTCAGTATCTTGTTGGTAACACCCTTTTAAAAATAACTGTAATTCAACTAGAGAGGAAATGAATCTGTTTCGGGACTCAAGCTAAAATCTAGTAAATCAGCTTTTAGATGAATCACATTTTTATTTCATCATTCACTTTAAATTAGTTGAAATATTAAGATTAAGATAAATTTGTTCTCATAGTGTAAGTACTGTCATATATAATCTAAAAGGCTAAATTCTAAAATACTGTTGGCTACGAAGTATTTTACAGTGAATAAATAGCTTTAATAAAAAGTAATATAAATCGTGTCAGATACTGCACTAAGCCATTTGCATGTTTTTTTTGATTCAATACATTTTATTGATTTAATAAATTTTGAGGGCCTACTATGTGTTATGCCTGCATAAGACAGTAAATAAGAATAATGATGAGAACAAAGACAGAAGATTTCTGTGGCACTCACAGCTTATGGAGAAATATAAACATCATAAATAAATATAAAATTATAACTGCTATAAAAAATCAATGTATGCTACTCTGAGAAAGCATACCCTCATATTAACATTTCGATTATATAAATGAGAAGTTGTATTACATTTTCCAGATGAAAAGGCAAATTTATTTAACCTCTGTAATGTATATTATCAAAAATTAGTAAATTCAAGATTCAAAGAGAAGGTATATTGAATGCCAAAACTAGAGCTCATGTGAAATAAATCATAGTGGCTTTTAGATTTTCCATGGCTGTGAAAAACAATATTATGTATGTTCATTCAGTTCAGACACAGGCTGGGATGCACATGCATGACATTTGACTAAACATAATTTAAGATAAAGGTTTGAATCTCAGAGTGCTTTTTTTTTTTTTTTTTTTTTTTTGAGATGGAGTTTCACTCTTGTTGCCTAGGCTGGAGTGCAATGGTGCGATCTCGGCTCACTGCAACCTCCACCTCCCCAGTTCAAGCGATTCTCCTGCCTCAGACTCCCGAGTAGCTAGGATTACAGGCATGCGCCACCATGCCCAGCTGATTTTTGTATTCTTCGTAGAGACAGGGTTTCACCATGTTGGTCAGGCTGGTCTTGAACTCCTGACCACAGGTGATCCACCCACCTCGGCCTCCCAAAGTGTTGGGATTACAGGTGTGAGCCACAGCGCCCAGCCAAGAGTACATTTTTAAAAATAATCAAATAAATATATATTTACAGTTCTTAGATGGGACTATAATTAGCTATACAAATCAGTTACTCAAACTTTTTCTAATAAATCAAATGAAGGTGTCAGACTATTCCAAAATTCTACCAATAGTAAATACTAATTTACTTTTATTATTTTAGCAAAGGTACATATCTATTAATTGTGAGAGACTATTTATGTTCAGTCCACTAGTGTAATGCCATCAAAATGACACCTAAGACTATTAAAAAATACATTTTTCTATTTTCTGCAACTATATTGCAAAATTAAAATTGGATTTTTTCCCCCAACCAATTTGTAAAGATTGAGTGACAAGATATACATAAGGCTATGTGGTACACATGAAATTCACTGTTGGAGAGAGGCGTGATTTCAGAACAATTTACACCAAAAGTCCCAAAAGGTAGATGCTCTGAATTGCTAGGGTTGATTTGAAAATTGAAGCTTCTTCTTATACATGCAACTCAAAGTAGCATATTTCAGGAAAAGTAGGAGCAGGAACTTCATTATTTAACAAAGGTAGATAATTCTCATGAGCAACACTAACTAAGCTTACTTGCTTGCACATATGAGGATACTGACAAAGATACAGTACCACAGTATAAAGGTATCCATGTTGTCTTCTTTATATGAAACTATCACAAATTCCATGCCTTATCTATAAAGTGGAAATAATATTTTCTCCTAAAGTGAGGTTATAAAGCAATATTAAGGAAAGGGAAAGAAATAGTACATTTTACAATGAATTTTATTGTAACTGTTCTTTTAAGCCGGGCTGAAGAGAACTCCATCTATTGAGATCTTCATGTGTAATAAAAACTGAGTATCTTCATTAAGTCTGAATAACCATATAATTCAGATACAATTTTCATGTATCAAAAGGGATTTTCTTAGTTTCATTGTTAAAATTAATTGATTCTTTCAGTTGGCAAGTAAAAAGTGTGCATGTTTGTTATGTGTGTCATGATGTTTTCAGATAATATACACGTTGTGGAATAGCTAAACCAAAATTATTAGCATTTATATTACCTCACATACTTACCTTTTTTGGAGAAGAACACTTAAATTTACTCTTAGTAATTCTCAAAAATACAATACTTTGTTAATTACCGTAATGACTATGTTGTACAATAGATCTCTTTAACTTATTTTTCCTATCTAAATGAAAAAAATTATTTGACCAACATCTACCCGATGTGCACTGCAGCCACCTTCCGCCATTCCCTAGCCTTTACATGCTACTTTCTGCTTCAACGAGTTCAACATTTTTAGATTCCACATATAGGTGAGATGGTACAGTATTGGTATTTCTGTGATTAGCCCATTTCATTCAGCATTATATCCTCCAGGCTAACCTATGTTGTCACAAATGATAGGATCTTTTCTTCCTTTTTAAGGCTGTACAGTATCCACCATGTGGAAATAAATTTGTTGAAAATCAATTGACCATAAGTGCATGGACTTACGTCTGGGTGTTCTATTCTGTTTTATTGGTCTATATTTCTGTCTTTATAGCAGTACCATAACTACCATAGCCTCAGAGTATAATCTGAAGTCAGCTTTTGAGGTGCTTTCAACTCTGATCTTTTTTCTCAAGATTACTTTGAATATTTGGGGTCTTTTGTGGTTCCATATGAATTCTAGGGATTTTTTTATTTCTGTGAAAAATATCATTGGAATTTTGACAGGGATGGCCTTAAATCTGTAGATTGCCTTGGTTAGTATAAACTTTTTAACAAATATTAACTCTTCTAATCAATAATCATGGGATATCTTTTGATTTATTTGTATCCTTCAATATCTTTCACTAATGTTTTATGGTATTCACTGTATAGGTTTTTCTCTTCCTTGGTTAAATTTATTTCTATGTGGTTTTTAAAATGTTAGCATATATGGAATTGTCTTCTAAATTTATTTTCAGATAGTTTGTTATTAATATATACAAAAGCTACTTTATTATTTCTGTTTTTGCTTGTTGATTTGTTTAAGTTACTTACAGATTCTGGATGTTAGAACTTTGTCAAATACATATTTTGCAAATCTTTTCTCCCATTCTGTAGTTTGTCTGTTTACTCTCTTGATAGTTTCTGTTGCTGTGCAGAAGCTCTTCCATTTAATTAGGTCCTGCTTGTCAACTTTTTTTTTCCTTTGCAACTGCTTTTGAGGATGTAGCCATAAATTCTCTGCCAAGGCTGATGTCAAAAAGGATATTTCCTAGATTTTCTTCCGGGATTTTTATAGTTCGAGATGTTACATTTAAGTCTTTAATACATTTTGAGTTAATGTTTATGTATGGTGATAGGTAGGGGTTCAGTTTTATTATTCTGCTTATGGTTAGCCAATTTATATCCCATATCTCAGCATCATTTATTAAATAGACTGTCCTTTTGCCATTGCTTGTTTTTTTGACTTTAAAAAAATCAGATGGCTGTAGGTGTATGACTTTATTTCTAGATTCTCTATTCATTTCATTGGTTTATGTGTCTGTTTTTGTTCAAGTACTATGCTGTTTTGATTGCCGTTGTCTTGTAATATGCACACGAACTAGAAAATCTACAGGAAATGGATAAATTCCCATTAACACACAATCTCTCAAGTTTGAACCTGAATAGACTAATAATGAATCCCAAAATTACATTAGTAATGAAAAACCTACCAAACAATATGGCCCTGGACCAAATGGATTCACGGCTGAAGAGCGAATATCAATCTTAGTGAAATTATTACAAAAGAATTGAGGAGGAGAGATTCCTCCCTAACTCATCCTGCAAAGCCAGAATCAATCTGCTATCAAAAGCTGGAAAAAACACAATAAACAGGAAAATTTTTTAGGCCAATATCCCTGTTGAACATAGACACAAAAATCCTCAGCAAAATACTGGCAAACTGAATAAAGCAGCACTCCAAAAACTTAATTCGCCATGGTCAGGTAGGCTTATTCCTGAGATGCAAGTTTGATCCAACAGATGCAAATCAATAAATGTGATTCACCAGATAAACAGAATTAAAAACAAAAATTATATGATCATCTCAATATATATAGAAAAAGATTTTGATAAACTCCAGCATCCCTTCATGATACAAAACCTCAACAAACTAGACATCAAAAAACACACCTAAAAATAATAAGAGCCATCTATGACAAAACCACAGCCAACATCATACTGAACAGGTAAAAGGCAAAAGCATTCCTGTTGAGAACTGGAGCTGGAAAAGAATGCCCTCTCCACCAACCCTAGTCAGTGTAATTCTGGAGGTGCTAGCCAGAGCAGTCAGGAAAGAGAAAAAAATAAAAGGCATCCAAATAGAGAAATAAGTCAAACTAACCCTCTTTGCTGAAGGTATGATTCTGTACTTAGAAAACCCTAAAGACCCTGCCAAAAGGCTCCCAGTACTGATAAATAAATTCAGTTAACTTCTAGGATATAAAATCAATATATACAAATCAGTAGCATTTCTGATACCAATAATATTAAATATTTAAATGTTAAATAATGAATACCAATAATGTTAAAGCTGAGGACCAAATAAAAAATGCAATCCCACTTACAGCAGACACACACACATGCCCCAAAAATACCTACGGATACATCTAACTGAAGAGGTCAAAGACATCTACAAAGGGAACTATAAAACGCTACTAAAAGAAATCACAGATGACACAAACAAATGGAAAAACATTACATGATCATGGATTGGAAGAATCATTATTTTTAAAATGGCCATACTGCACAAAGCAATCTAGAGATTCAATGCTATTCCTATCAAACTACAAATGTTATGTTTTACATAATTAGAAAAGCTATTCTATATTTCATATGGAGCCAAAAACAAGCCTGGAAAGCCAAAGCAACTCTAAGCAAAAACAAAACAAAAAGAAACAAAAAACAAAGACAGCTGCCTCATATTACCACTTTACATCTTTTGATTGGAGAATTTAATCAATATATGTTCAAGGTAATTATGAATAGATAAGTACACATTCCTGTCATTTCATTAATGATTTCCTGGTTGTTTTGTAGATCTTTTGTCCTGTTCTATTTTCCTTGTTGGCCCAGTGCTGGGGGTGGTCTGGAGCCCAGGGCCACTAGGGTTAACTTGGCTCTGTGGTAGGCTTAGAGAAGTCTATGATAGTTGGCCTGGAAGAAGTGGGACTAGATCCCCAGGCAGCTGGGACTGCCTCATTGCTGTGGCCAGTCCAGAGCCAGTAAAGTCCAGGACCTGGGACCACTAAAGTCAGCATAATGATGTGGCAGCCCCAGGGACCTAGTCCCTGGGACCTGAACCTGAATATCCCTGGGACTTGGAGCTACAGGTTCCAGCATGAGCCTGGGTCAGGCCTGCAAGCTCAGCCTGTGGGTACCAGCCTGACGTCTGGGGTTTTGGGAGCCTTTTCAGTGCTGAGTTTTAGTGGGATGGGCCTTGTGTTGGGGTACAAGGCAAAGTCTGATGCTCACTTCTCTCTCCTTTTTTCTGAGTAAAAGGTAGCTCTCTCTATGCTGTACTTCCCCAGGTTAGGTGAGGGGTGGCATGGGTAATGTAAAATGGTTCTTCCTACCCTCTTCAATGTATTTCATTTTTTAAATTTTTGTGGCACCCTTAATTTTGGTAACCTTTCGCTGGATTTCCTTCCGTCTCATCAAGGTATTTTTGTACATGAATAATTGTTCAAGTTGATGTTTCCGTGCACAAACATGAGGGAATCCTCTTCCACTACCTTGCTTGGATAGCCTCAACAGTAAAATAGTTATTTTAGTTAAATAATGTAGATATTGCTCCACTAACTAAGGCACCAAATAAAATGGAGAGTTTATGGAAAGTGTGATTATTTATTCCTCTTTATAGGTGCTTCGACAAATGTTTAAGAAAATGTTCAGCTGATATTAAAAACATTATTTCTGATGGTGCGATTTTGGATATATTGCCATTTTTGTTGCATTTTACAACCTAAATATTTATAAAAAGAATATATTTCAAAATAAAATAAAGCCTTTTTTAAGAGGAAAGAATTAAAGTAGCAAGGAACATGGATAGAAACAGATTCATTGGGAAAACATAAAATACATTAGAGGAAAATGCACACAAAACTAAGGAGCACTTGTTTCATAAACTGAAGAAAAGTTTCCATGCCAAGCTGAAATGTTTAAACAAAGAGTAATTGTCAAACAAAAAGAAATCATTGGAACACTTTATATAGAGTAATAGAGTAAGGTATGTTCTTCAAGAGAATTGATATGCCAGGCATGGTCAGAGGGAAGAATTCAGGTAAAGACATAAGAGAGAGATGTTTGGAATAGCAAGAAAAATTGCAGTTTGCTTTTTTCAATTGATATAAAATAGGTAATGAGGCCTGCACTGAAAAAAAATAAAGATTTTGGTTTTTGATTTTTTTTTTATTTTCTATTTTTCTTTCTAGCAACTTCCTGACCCAAATGCCATATGGAGAATATCAAAACGTATGGAAAGTACAAGTTATGATTTGTTCCTTTTCCCTAGCTCTAGATCAAGTTGCTTAAAAATGCATTGCAAATGTTTTAACCAATTATGTCACCCAGGACAATGAAATAAAAGTAATATATCATTTAATAAGTTGTATTTTTAGGTATTTTGTCCAGAGAAGAGCCAGTGCGGGTGTCTCAAAACACAGATGGTTTAACTCATGGCTGGAAAACTAAATAAGCATCATTTTTACTACACACATTCCATTTGGTGTTTGAAGTGTACTTCAGCATAGATGTAAAGTACTACAATTTTTTAAAGAAAACCACTTCATTCTTTTACCTAACAACAATGCAATGTCTGGAAGATTCTCAAATGCCAAACATATTACTTAGGTGTCTCATCCTTAAGAACCTTAAGCCTGCTCTATCCTAGGGTTTTAGGATTGTGTTCTACAGCAGTATTGTCTGGTCAGAGGAACTTATAATCTAAAAATTTTTTTGCAGAACTATAAATAGCCATATATATATATATATATCAGGCATAGTAAGGATTTATTGTCACAGGAGTGGTGTGAGAGGCTGTTGTAAAATAATTGGTAGAAGTATAGAATGCTATAGAATTTCTGCTTGATCCCCACAGTGGCAATGATGGGGATTATCCCTCTTTTGCTACACCTCAAGGCAAGTGATGGAGGCATCAAGAGAGCCCTCCCCGAGACTGTGGATGCTTGCTAAAGGGGAAGCGCATATCGTACAACCTGAAAAAAATATTAACGGAGCTGCTGAAGCTTCAGCTTGGCCACAGCAGCCACCAGAGCAGAAGTCAAGAGCGCTTTGAGAGAAAATTACATATAAAAGTTGGAGGTGGGACATAGTTACCTGTAACAACTTTTATCTAGAACATTCTGACAAGAAGCAACCTTGGGAAGCCTGCCAAGAAAGACAGAACAGTAACGAGAGAAAGCTGCACTCCTGGTGTTGGTGACAAAAAAGTACCTTGGTTCTCTCAGGCTAAGTGCATATCACAAAGGAAGACAGAATTGGCATATAATAAAAAGACACTGCCCAAAAGGAGCATCTATTGAACAAAGGGGTCTGTAATGCATTCATATCATTATGGTGTTGCCTTGGCATCCACTGTGAGTATAAGTTGGACTTTCTCATACCAGAAGTGGGTCACAGTCACCTATGAGACAGTTTTCAACTCTTCAGCTCACTCCCCCTCAAACCCTGCCAGTTCCTCATTGTGGTATTACACGACTGCCTTATACAACTTCCTCTTCATGACCACCTGTCTGTGGGACAGCTAGATAAAACATACTTGAGCAGCCTCACTGACCCCCTCATGGACTGTGTAGGTATTTTCACAGTAACCACCTTTCAGTCACAGCATGACCTTCTGGAACTTGTGCCTCCTTGCTTCAAACCCACCCATTAAAACTTGCTGCAGGAACCCCGTTTGGATAATGCCCCAGACTCAATAAAAGCATTGGCTCACAGATTGTTATCCCTCTCTTTCCTGGTGCTGACCCACCTCCATTATGGCATGGTGTGTACCTCCAGGGCCTGTAAGTAAAAACATTTTAATTTTCAACTTGTGTTTTTCTTAGTCATTAAAAAGGTACTCACCACCTTAAAGATCCCAAATTAATACAGAGTGCCAGCAAAAAAGAATCTATATGGAATTTCATCACAAGGTAACAGCTGTGGGTTGACAAATATGCAGTCACAGAGCATATTGCCATATCAGTGGCCAGTGAAATTCAGAGGGCTTTGAAAGAAGCTACTACTAATACTACTCAGAAAAGCAAAAACTAGAACATTTGCTTTGAAAAAGAGTTTTTACCAGCTAATACTAAATCACAGCTATCAGCTAAGTGCAGAGATGTTTGCCCTTATTCTTCTCAACTGTGCACTAGCCAAAAGCTGAGTGCAAGGAGAAGAATTAAAAGAAACAAGAAGGTCCAAAACAGACTACAACATCCTCCCTTACTTCTTGTCCTAAAAAAGCAGATCAAGCGTGAGCTGAGAGTTCAAGGAGGAGACTGGAAATAAATGTGAGAACAAGACTTGCCTTAAATACTAGTTTCAGAAAATGAAGTTATTTTGATGTCTGAAAATGAAGAGAATGTTATGAGATCTACCCAAGATTTTAATAAATGTGTGGGGAATTAGTATCTGATAAACTATGTTTGAAAGAAGTGGCCAGAAAAGAATAAGGTAATTCCCTGATAATAACTATCCTATTCAGCATGTTCAGTAGCTATTGAATGGGAAATGTGGTGAACTATGAAAGATAACTTATCAGAATAATTCACCCATGATTTTGAAACTTTGTTCTTCTACAGACTGACTTTTCATGTCATCAAAAAAGGAGAAATTTCTATTCTTATTTGATACTACCTAAAAATGTTTTATATAAAACCTTAAATCTCAACTGTTACAACATCATAGAATTTATAAAGCCTCACTTCTTTTAAATAATCATATAGGAACCAGTTTTATCTGCCTCAAAATGTAAAGTCCAAACCTAACCTAATCAGACAACTTTTCAGTTATATAACATAGGCTAATGGGGCTTTTCTCATAGGAATTTAAGAATAAATGGTGTGTTTCTGCGTGAGTAGAAGAGAACAAGGAAGAATATCCCAGAGGTGGCTTAGATAGGACTAATATAAACTCACCAAACTCATAAAAACTAGTCCTTTCTGGCACTAATTAATAGCTCAAATCATTAAATCTCTAGGGGCTTAGAAAACCCCTGGCCAGTCCAGACATCAGTGCCCATGTATCCACAAAGGAAACTAGTAGAAATTGTCAAGACTGGAGGGGCTTTATGTCACTGGTGATAGCTATTTACATCTGGTGAAAGAACACCATCAAAGTGATGTGCAATATTTATTAAGGCAGGATCCAGAGCTAGATGAAGAAAGAAACTGCATAGGAATGGAGAGAGCTCTTAGCAATAAGCTTAGCTTTTTGGAACGAACCTCTGTTTGATAAACAGAAACCAAGGTCCACAGATGGACAAATTAGTCCAGAAAATAAGAGGTAAAATTAGGAATAGGAAAAACAGCCTGCCTTTAAGTATCTCACACATATATATTTTAAACATTTTATTGAAGTGTAATACAAATGAAAGTGCAAATATTGCGTCAGTTTGATAACTTTAAACAAATTAAACACACCTACATCATCAGGACCCAAAACAAGAAACAGAACATCATTGGGGTTCTAGATGTCAGTATAATGATGCCTTCTATCTACTACCATCTCCTTAAGGTCCCTTTTACGCCACCCCTTAAAAGCACACTTTAGTTTTATCTGAATATTCTTATATTTTTATAAATTAAATTATACAGTATGCATGCTTTTGCCTCTGGCTTTTCTAATTCAAAAGTATTTTGTAATATTCATGAATATTATCATGTGTAGTTGTAGGTCATTAATTCTCATTGCTGAATACTACTCCATGTGTCAATATACTGCAATTTATCTATTCACTCTTTTCTTAATGGTCACATGGGTAATTTCTAGTGTGAAACAATTATGAATAGTAGCACTATAAACATTCTAACTCATGTCTTTTGTTAAGCATATATACCTGTTTCTATTTCTGTGGGTTTTTTCTTGATACAGCATTGCTACATCATGAAATACGCAACTCAGCCTTAGTAAATGTGATTAACTGCTTTCCCAAGGCACTGTAGTAATTAATACATCCACAGCAATGTAGAAAAATTTGGTTTGGCTACACATCTTCATCACACTTGACATTTTGTATTTTTTCATCTTAGCCATTCTAATGGCTTCACCTTAGAATTTTGATTTGCATTTCTTAATGACTAATGAAGTGGGACACCTTTTTATATCTATATTGGTCATTTGGTTATTTTCTTTATGGTGTCTTCACATTTTCTTCCCATTTTGCTATTAGATTGTTAGATTTTTTTCTTATTTTTTAGGCATTCCTTATATATTCGAGATTATAAGTCCTTCATTCAGGCAGATTTTTTCCTACTCTCTGTGTTATTTTTTCACACTATTAATGTTTTTTTTTTAATTACAGAAGTTGTTAATTTTAGGGCCAGGTGCAGTGTCTCACATCTGTAATCTGGGCACTTTGGGAGGCTAAGGTGGGCAGATCACAATGTCAGGCGATCGAGACCATCCTGGCTAACATGGTGAAACCCTGTCTCTACTAAAAATACAAAAAATTAGCCGGGCATGGTGGTGGGCGCCTGTAGTCCCAGCTACTTAGGAGGCTGAGGCAGGAGAATGGCATGAACCCAGGAGGCAGAGCTTGCAGTGAGCCGACATTGTGCCATTGCACTCCAGCCTGGGTGACAGAGCGAGACTCTCTCAAAAAAAAAAAAAAAAGTTGTTAATTTTATTATAATCCAATTTATCTTTTTTGAGATTTATGGTTATTTTTGTGTCTTGTTTAAGAAATCTTTGCCTGCCCCACAGTCACAAAAATGTTCCGTAAGTTGACCTCTAAAACTTGTACTGTCGTACTCCAGGCATGTTTAAATATCTTATGAGTAAACCCAGGGCACTAAGGCAAAAGATTCTGTCTAAACCCCATTGACTTGTATAGAAGTTTCTAATTTGCCATCAGATCAGGCAGGGATCTAGGTTCAGAGTCAAGACAGGGTTATGCCTACTTAAGGCAGGACTTTCAAAAATTGATCTGAGCATGGAAGCTCTGGGCTAAGATTTTTGAAGAAAAGGTGCAAGCTGTTTCCAGTTCAGTTAATGTCTACTTATGAACTGAGAAATATGAGAGTCATATGGCTGAAATTTGCAAGAAATGTCAAAATAACTAATTATTACAATGGCACTGATTTTTATACCATGATATCAAGCTGTTTCAGACTCACCTGTAGCCTGAGGCACAAGCTATTAATGTACATGGTATAATGGCCTCCCTCTCCTGTTATCATTCCAGAGAGTTATTTGAATCTTCCATGTAGTGGAATTCAGGGTGGTATAGACATATTAGAAAATGCTTAATGTATACATCAGTGACTTAGCAACTGAGACAATCAATGGTTGCTGGTTACAGATTGATGGCTTGATACATTGAGAGCATTAAAAGTTTCTGTATTTAAATACATATCTCAATTGACCCCAATTATTTTGGTTTCTTTCAAAATTTTCAATGTTTAGCTTTAATCCTTTTATGGCCATTTATTATCCCAATCTTATTTCCAAGAAATAGGATCATAAAAGATAGTCTAACATTCGGGAGTGCAGACTAGGGCAACTCATTTCAGCTATCACATTTTCATCAGGTGAAATTTAAAACTAATTGATCTTGGAAAAACTTAATGTGCCTTAGGGAAGCCAGACTGTTACAAAACCCAGATTTCAAAGCTTTACATATTTAGGGGTTTTGACAAAAATAAAATTTGAAATATTTTTCATGCTCACCTAAGGTCAATTCATTTTTCCAATGATTAGATGCAAGGAAAGTAAAAGAAAACTTTCAGCAGTTAGTTCCAATTCACCTCATTCTCATTAGGCTCAAGAAATCTGTATTTTATCAGGCCTAATAAGTAATGTATAGAAGATAGTGCATTTTATACACGGCCAAGATGTGTGCATCCTCAATCACTATCAATTATTACCTTTGTAAATCATCTTTATTTAAAATGGCATTTAATGGCTCAGTAATATTTGTAATGAAGAACATCTGTGTTATTTCATAAAAAGCACTTTGCTCACAGCTGTTCATGGTACTGCCTACAGTTGTGGGATAGTTTGCTTTGTAATGCCTGAGCTTCCTATTTTATCTGTGATAAGAAAAATCTGAAGCCCAGATGGCCCATATCAATTATGCTGTAAAAGTATTGGCTCATCTTCTCCTTCACAGCAGGACATTCATTGATCTCAGCTCTGACATGATCTGATACAACGTTTGTGGAAAAGTCAATTTGTCTCTGTAAGTCTCATTTGCCTTACACTAAAATGATGACGTCCGTTTTTAACCTGTGTTTTGCAAAGACCAGTGTTTGTGTGGGGCTGCAGAGAAGAAGTGCTAGGGGCAGGCAGGGAGTGAGAGTGATTAACACAAGCAGACAAAGTTCCACAAACTTCTGCCTCTCTTTCAAATCTTGTGGTTCTAGGAAATTATTTATTTGAATAAAATATTAGTTTTTAAACTTCTAAGCATGATTAACAACAACATTATCTCCCTTTTTAATAATCTTTGAATGCCTGCTGTGAAGGAAATGCTATTATTGTACGATGTTCACAAACTCTGACTTTAATGCTTGCCAGAACTGAGATTTGATCATGGCTCTGCTATTCAACTAGCTTTAAGGAGAAAAACAAAACCTCTCTATCTTTTAAACACTTCATCTATAAAAAGGTGGATGACAATGATTAGTACCTTATAAGGTTGCTGTGAATAGCAAATGAACTAATCTGTGTAGAACATTTAGCACAGATCTTAGCACAGAGCAGGAACCCAAGAAATATCATCAATGCTCTTTCACATTTGTCTTACATAATATTCCCTCTCTTGATCAAATGTGGTAATAATATTAAAGTGGAATTGATTTTGTCATTGATGATAGCATTTTTATAATAATAAGTCAAAGGCTACAGTCAAATGTACAAGGGCTCTGTGTTAGTTTTCTAGGGCTGCCATAACAAACTACCATGAACTGTGTTTTAAAACAACAGAAATGTATTCTCTTACAGTTCTGGAGGCTAGAAATCTGAAATCAAGGTGTCACCTGAGCCATGCTGCCTCAAGAGGTTCTACAAAACACTTCTTCCTTGTCCTTTTGTACCCTCTGGTAGTTGCCAACAGTCTTTGGCACCCATTGGCTTGTAGCTTTCTGCCTCCATTTTCACATGGCCCTTTTGCGTCTTGCTCTCTCTTTCTCTTAAAAAGACACCAGTCATTGGATTTGGGGTCAGTTCATATCCAGTAATGACATCATCTCAATTTGATTACATCTTCAAAGATTCATTTTAAATTTCACCAGCAAACATCATGACAAAACCCCACAGTGAAGATAACCTGCTGGGAACTGAATCCAAAATGAGCAGCAACGACACAATGGAGAAAATAAATGAGGAGATGTAGATTAAAGGGGCAAGGAGAGGAAATAGCTAGGAGAGCTCTAAAAAGGTTGTTCAAAAACTGCCACTTGAATTAAAAAAACTGCATGGAAATAATACAAGAGGGAACTCTGCGGAGTTACAAAAACTATATTGTGGCATACCTTTAGACTCCTGTAAAAGTTTGGGTAGCTAATGCCTTGTAAAACTAAGCAACTAAAATAATTGTGTAAAATTCATTATAAAGTTATTTTTAAAGAAAAGAATAAGTGGCAAATCAACAGCCCTAAAGACAATAATCCTACCTGCATCCTGGCTTACAAAATATCACTCTAAAGAACCAAAGTTGGTTTGGCCCAACTCTGCTTTTTATAGCATAGAATATGAGGGGAAAATAGTAAGAATAAACTATTCGACAGAGATTTTCAATTCATAAAGAACAGAATCAGGTTGGGAAAAATGAAAGGGTAATTTGGAAGAATGAAATAAAATTACTCAATGGTAACTAGCACAGAAACAGAATTTTAAAAGGCTGATAAGACACTTCATTAAAAGCTATAAAGTACTTCATTTTAAATGACATAATTCCATTAAATTTTGTCTAGAATTCAGTAGAATTTTTCTATTTTCCTTTTACTTTAAAAACAATCTGTGAATAAACCATTTCTTTTTGGGCAACTAAAATACTTTCTAAATTAAGTTTAAGACCATAGTTGTCATTTCCCATAACTCATAAATAAATAGCTACAATGATCACCAAAAGGAGAGAGGAGGACCTTGAACAGTATGAACCCTTTTCATAAATGTGCCCATTTAAAATTTTGTCTGTGGCTGTTATTGTTAAGAAGTTGCATTGCTAGTGTTCTGACTGTTAGAAATCTTCCTATTTGCATATACTGTGTATATGCACCGACTGAAAAGAAGGAATAATAGAGTCTGCAGGAAATGGATTTCCTGCAAAAGTCATCCTAGCTAAAATTAGGAAATTATCTGTGAACAAAAGCAGATTGTTCATCTTTTTAGAAGGCTATTCCTCTAAAGTAATAGTGATTATTAAATGTCAATTAAAAGGCTTCTATTTTGTTGTTGTCAATTTATGATTTGTAGTTTGATTTGTATTACTCAATAGTTACTAATACATAAAACTATTGATATTATACACTTAGCTACTTCTATAAATATAACATTAAAGTTGAAAGACTGTGCTGAGCTGTCAAGATATTTCAACAAGTCCTTAGTAAAAATATTTTTTAAATTGACTCAATAAAAAATGAATAATTTTCACATGAAAAGTGCACTCTTTCGGCTTTCCATCAACTTACTGCTACCCATTGCAAAAGATACACCCCATGAAGGCTGCCAGACAATTGGAATACTTTTCACCTGACTCCCCCATTTTATTTCATAGACTTACTGCACAAGTAATAATATAAACCATGAAAATCCCATACTGTATCTTAACATACTACACATTGATTACTACTCCTTATTAACCATTTTCCACATTTTTTTTCACAGTTCTTTGTTTGGTAATCATCTTTTTTCTTTTAGCAGGTAATAATGATGATAATTCTAATAGTTAATTCATATTGACTATATATCTTGTGCCAGGCAATGTTCTAAGAGTTTTACACACATTACCATCCAACAACAACTCTATGAGTAAGGTGACTTACTTACCTTTGTTTTAGAAATGACCAAACTGTGACCCAGAAAATTAAGTAACTGGCATGGTCACATAGTGAATGAAAACAGAGATCGAACTTAAACTGACATAGACAGACCTGAATGCCTACTATCTAACCAATATCCCATGAAATAGGCCTTACAGATACTGAGAAGCTATTTTTAATAAGTTTCAAACCTCACATGTTGGAATCTCAAATAATTACATTGGAATCTCATATAAAGGCTTTAATTTAAAATTATATATTATGACCTAGAGATTTCCCTTCTTTTATATGCTTAGGTTATTTCACTCTTTTTGGTTTTTTTTTTTAATTTGTTGTTGGAGACATTCTGATGTACCATCCCTCAGAAAAATGGTTACATTGTCCAATTTAAACTTTATTTTCCTTTTTTCTAAGCTCAAAGTATACAAGAAACATATTCTTCAATAGGATTTTTAGAGATGAGCCTGTAAGCCTCTGCAACTTTTCACAGAAAAACATCAGATTAAAAAGATGATCTCCTCTTCACTTCCACTGCCTTTGATCACAAATCTACAATGCTTATATACTTTCCAAAATTATGTGGCAACTCTGGGGGTCAGACCGCAATTTAGAGAGGAACAGGGTTGTCCCATTTAGAAAATAAAATTACAGTATTCTTGATTAAATTTTAATTTCAAATAAACAATGAATAATATTGTATTGCATTTTATCTGGTAGCCCTAAAAAGAAGGCATAGAAAAAGTGAAATAAAAGAGACAGCTCAACATTCTGGACTACCTTGGAATATTTATTAGTTAGAAGGTGTTACTAGAAGTCAACACAGCCACATAAACCACTGCCCACAGGCAGGTATCTACAACAAATATAGGCTAAGCTAAAGGCCAGTTTGGCAGCTTCTGGTGATCAGTTTTATAAAGGAAGCTAAACATTATAGGGCCCAAGGTAGAGGACTGGGAGTGTAACAATATGGAGCTAAATCCATGTGCCAAAATTCTTCTCAGAGGGTGAACCATGTGATTGAAAGAATGATTTGAGATGCTGCTTTAGGTCCTATGGAGTTTGTTAAACTGCCTCTTAGGAGAGTAATATGGTTAGTAGCATTACCTTATTTATTTATTTATTTTTGCAATGGAGTAGGAATGTCTGGAAAAGTGCCAAATTACTTAGTGTATAGAAAAGCTTAAGATTATCAAGCGCATATATAACTTTCCATCCTTTTCATACCCAAAACTCAATAGCCTCACTAAATTAACACTAAAAATTACTGTAAGGATATTTGTTTGAATGAATACCTCAGTATTATCTTGACTGGGCCACCATTTTGGGGTCACCTTGGTATACCTAGTGGTGTTCTGGGAAAGCAGCTGGGAGGAATGTAGGGAGATGATTTTCAGCATGTATCAACTTCCAACATGTGTCTATTCCTACCGTGACCAATTTCAAGCTCCCAAACCAGCTTGCAAAATTCTTAAATATTTAATAATCAACTCTCACAGGACTAAATGGGCAGCTCCAGCACATGTCTACATTTCACATTCCACTTCAGAGTAAGCATAATTAATACTTGTTTAAATATTTATTATGACCAAATATAAGCTCTAGGAGGACATGGACAGATTTCACTCTTACTTATACCTCCAAATGTTTCATAGTCCCTGGCATATGGCAGGCAGTAAACAAAATAAAGCTTGGTGAAACTGAGTATTAAAAAATCCTTAAGCTGTTTAGAAAAAGATCCAGTGCTTATAAGATTCTTATCTCATCATTTCAATTTTAATTCCCCCACCCCCAAAAAATCAGCATTAATTTGTCATCCTTATCAGGATGTCAAGTAAACTGAGTTTTATGCTTTCATTATTGCCGTCCATTCCAAATGTTAACAGAATTTCCTTTTTGAAGGTGAACAAGCTTAATTTAATTATCTCTCTGGTGAACTCTCAGAATCAGAGTTCCCACTGTAATTTCAGTATATAGTCTCTGTGACTCAGGTAGACACATTTCAACAGGGGTCAAATCTTGTGATGAAAATGACAAATTCACACATACTGATATATTGCATACAAGCCCAGCTTGCAATTGATAAAAGTGGTCTGTCAGTGAAAGACTAATGAGAATGAATTTCATTTCAGGCCTTATACCTAGCTAATTATGAGAAGAAAAAGACAGCATAAATAGTTAATTTACTAAATTTTTAAATATGATTCTATAAAGTAATATAGTTTCCATTAAAATCAAACATATTATTTTCATTCTTAATGTTTACAAAAGATTTTCATTTTCTTAAGGAGTAAACCAAGGAAAAACCAAGAAACAACTTTAAATCATGCCATAACCATTTTCAAATATTTTTTCATGCAACTTTTATGATACAGTGGCATGTTTGTGGCCTCTCCACATAGTATTGAACTGCACTTCAAATAAAGATGACAACAGTCTTCTGCTTAAACTGGAGTTGTTGAGAAAAGGAATCTCAAAAAAAGTAGTTTATGAAGCACAATCACTCAAACTCCAGTAGTCATAGGTGAAGAAGAAACATAAGATAAAAGACAATGCTCATCTCAAAGTATTTATCTGCTTATAATTCATACATGTAATATGAACATAATGTTTATATACAATTATGTTAAGTTAAAGCTTATGGCATAGGTCATCTATAAAAAGTGGAAATTATTTCTCATTAATTAGCTACAAATATGCTTGTCAAATTGGCATCAAAGCAAACAAAATTATGCACATTTTATTATACTGTATGAATAATATAGCCAAAAGCAACATTGTCAAATTAATTACCTGCAATAGATAGGTTTATTATTAACTCAATTGTTTACATTTGACATTTTGAAATATTATACCAGAACTTTAATCTTACTTTTATGAAAGTTTAGATATCTAAGAACTCCAGAGAATGAACAGCCAACCCAGCTTAAATATTAAACTACACAGAGAAGACATGATTCAGAAACCAAAAGAGATACCAATTCTTGAAGATGAATTTAAAATAAGCTGATGATTTGAATATAGGTGTGAATCATAAAAAGTAAACATATTCCTGAGCAACCAATGGGTCAATATAGAAATTAAAAAAATAAAAAATACTTTGAAACAAATTAAAATGGAAACATAACATACTAACATATTTGAAATATAGCAAAACCAGTACTAAGAGGAATATTTATGGCAATAAAGACGTATATAAAAAACAGAAATAGAATGATGTCAGATAAATAACCTAACTATATACCTCAAGGAAATAGGTAAGCAAAGACAAACAAAACCCCAAATTAGTAAAAGGAAATAATTAGTATCAGAACAGAACTAAACAATAGAAAGCCTAAAAAAATACAAAGGAAAAACAAAATGACACATTAATTTGTTGAAAAGTTAAACAAAATTGACAAATCACCAACTGGACTAGCTAAGAAAAAAGTAAGACCCAAATATGTAAAACCACAGACAAAAAAGAAGACATTACAACTGACACAATGGAACTATAAAGGATTATTAGATACCATTATAACTATACACCAAATAATTGGAAAACTTAAAACAAATATATAAATTTCTGGACATATGCAACCTAGCAAGATTGAAGCATGAAGAAATAGAAAACATAAACAGATAGGTGCTAACTAATTAGATCATTAAAAAGTCTCCCATTAAAAAAAAAATTAGGACTGCTGCTTCACTGCTGAATTCTACCAAATATTTAAAAAATAGCTAGTACCGATTATTATTGAACTATTCCAAACAATTGAAGAGAAGGAAATACATCCAAATATATTTTATGAGGCCAGCATTACCCTAATAACAAAACCAAACAAAAACAAACAAGAAAAATAGAAAACTACAGGCCAATATCTCTGTTGAAAATAGGTGCAAAATTTGTACACAAATCACTGTTGTACCTAATTTAACAATATATTGGAAATATCATTTATTATAATCAATTGGCATTTATCCCAGGGATGCAAGGATAGTTCAAAATATGCAAATTCATAAATGTGATAGATCACATCAACAGAATCAGGACACAAACCATGTGACTATTGTAAAAGATGCTGGAGATTTTTGATAAAATTTAACATCCTTTTATGATAAAAACTCACAACAAATTGGATATACCAGGAACAAACCACAAAATGATAAAGGCCATATATGGCACATCTACAGCTAATACCATACTAAACAGAGAAAAACTGAATGCCTTTTCAGTAAGATCTGGAACAAGACAAGAATGCTTCCATTCATCCCTTAATATAAATATATATTATTACACATATATCCTACTGGAAATGGAGGGATATTTTTTTCACTTGACAACATATATTTTCCTAAAATATCAATATCAAACCTAATATAAAATTTTAAAGAATTCCCTTTCAAACAAAGACAAGTTTTCTACCATAAACAATTCTGTTTAACATTTTTCTTAACCAATGTTGTCAAATCAAAGTACTGATAATATCTAGTGTTGGCAAAGGTGTGAGGAAGCAGAAGCTCTCACATCCTGCTGAGGAGATATTTTCTCCAAAGTAATTGAACCCATTAAATCATTTTGGAGAAAATTCTTGCATTGTTCAGCAATGTTCAAGCACTTCTACTTTTCAACCTGTTCCCTCAGAAATATGCTCCAAGGAGAAATGCTTAAGCTTAGTTGGAATAACATTGCAGGCAATAGTGACATTTCATTTTTAGATTTTATCTCCAATTCCTTCATTTTTTTATGGCTTTATTTCTTAGTGTATAGACATAAACACATACATACATACACACACACACACACACACATACACACACAAACAGCAGAATTTCTAAAAGTTTATGAAAATGCATATAATAACACACATTAATGTCAAAAGATTTTTTGTACCAAAATAAACTCATACTAACTTAAAATATGTATAAATAGGATCTAGTTGGAGGTATTAAGAAAGATAAAACATCAGTTTGAAAAGTGCCCCTATCAGAGCAACATGAATTCTGCTAAAATCAAAGCAAGAACAAACATTAAATTTATGTTAAAACTTGGGTGGAAGAATAGTGAAATCATTGACGTTTTACAAAATGTTTAAAGAGACAATGCCCAAAAGAAATCAGGGGTTTACAAAGGAATAACACATTTTAAGAATGGATGAAAGGATATTGAAGATGAAGCCCACAGTGGCAGACCATCCACATCAATTTGCAAGGACAAAAGTCGTCTTGTTCATGCCCTGAATGAAGCATACCAATGATAAACAGAAGAAACAATAGCCAACACTACTGACATCTCAATTGATTTAGCTTACACAATTCTTACTGAAAAATAGATGTTGAGCAAACTTTTCACTCAATGAGTGCCAAACTGTTGTAGTCAGGTCAGCCACAGACAAGAGCAAAGCTTCCAATTGAAATTTAAACAAGTGGGGTCAAAATCCTAGACTTTACTAGCATGATCCCAATGATAAAGCACAATCAAAGCAATGGCTACCAAGAGGTGAAACTGTTCTAGTTAAAGCAAAAGTGGACCAGTCAAGGGCAAAGATTATGGCAACTGTTTCTTGGAATTATTGAGCCATTTTCCTTGTTGTCTTTCTGGAGGTACAAACAGTGATAACATCTCATCTTGTTATGAGAGTGTTTTGAGAAAGTTAGCCAAAGTTTTAGCAAAAAAACACCCAGGAAAACTTCATCAGAGAGTCTCTCTCCGCCGTCACAATGTTCCTGCTCATTTCTCCCATCAAGCAAGGGTAATTTTGTTAAAGTTTCCATGGGAAATCATTAGTCAGCCTCCCCATAGTCCTGATTTGGCTCTTTTTGACTTCTTGTTTTCTAATATTAAAAAAAAATTTAAGGACAACCATTTCTCTTCAGTGCATAATGTAAAAAAGAATGAATTAACATGGATAAATTCCCAGGATGCTCATCTCTTTAGGGATGAACTAAATTGCTGGTATCATCACTTACAAAAGTGTCTTAAACTTGATGGAGCTTATGTTGAGAAAATCAATTTACATTTTTTAGTTTTATCTTTTAATTTCATTTTTGAACGTTTGACATCCCCTTGTGTGTGTATTCATATACATACATATATACCCATATAAATATACACACTCTTAGTGTAAATATATGTTTCTTCGTGTATAGTGTACATATGTCTTATAAACTTAGCTTCAAACTTTTTAGAAAGTTACACAAAAAATGAAGTCTTATTTGCACTCAATAACAGTTTCATTTATTTATTAACATCTCTGAAAACTCCCATAATGAATTTGACATGTATTCTTTCAGTTCCTGATTATTTCTGCCACATTTAAATGTATTAACTATATATATGTATATATATAGTGTGTATGTGTGTGTCAGTGTCTATTCTCACTAACCTGCTTTCCTATTCAGCATTATATTTTCCTATTATCTCTAGTAGTTCATGTAAAATAATATATTCATTTTAACTGCCAGATAGTAATCAATAATATGAATATTTAATATTTCATAAATGCATCCCCTTACTGAGGAACACCTAGGTTATTCCATGTATTTATTTATTTACTTATTTATTGCTGAAAAGCTATTAACTATAAGCCTCTGCTCAGACCAAGCGTGAAAGTCTCCTTGCTATCCAAATTTTGAGTTGATATGCAGTTGCTTTTTGATGTTCAAAGCACACTGTGACGATGTTTCATATTAACCCCATTTTAACTGATTAGGAAATGAGTCTCAAAGAAAGTAAATAATTGTCCCAAGATCATCAAGCTATGAGGGGAGCCAATGTCTGCATACAGGTCTATCTTATTCCAGAGACTGTGTTCTAATCAAAGCAGTGTGTAATATATATTCAAACAGAATTAGATTGTGATATCAATTATTTTTCTGTTTCACAAAGCATTTTTTCCCAACCTTATAATTTGTGACAATGATGATGTATACTATTGCCTGAATAAGCTCATATCCAATTAAGAAGAAGTTTTATACCAGTGCAATGGCTCACACCTATAATACCAACAGTTTGGGAAGTCGAGGTGGGAAGATCACTTGAGCCTAGGAGTTCGAGACCAGCCTAGCCAGGTAATATAGCAAGACCCCATCTCTACAAAAAATGAGAAAAAGATTGCTGAGCATGGTGGCACACACCTGTAGTCCCAGCTAATCAAGAGGCTGAGGTGGAAGGATCACTTGAGCCTGGGAGGTTGAGGCTGCAGTGAAGTGCAATCATGCCACTGCACTCCACCTTGGGCAAGAAAGTTAGACTCTGTCCAAAAAAAAAAAAAAGTTTTATTTACAAAATGACATACTTTGAAAAATACTTTTACTTGTTTTAAAAGTTTTGATTACAAAGAAAGATAAGTTTTGGCATATGTAATGAAAGACTAAGTCAGTTTAAGACAATCAGTTTATAAGCTCATGAGATTGCTACTGTGTGAAGGAAACAGAAGGTTATGACATTGTGGTCAAAAGTTTGAACCTTTGCCAGCCTAATGCTGACTAAAAATCATTTATCCTCTGACAGCTACTGCCCTTTATTTTTTTTTAATTACAAAACAGTAAGTATCAGCATTTATATCTCTGCAAGAAAAAGCTCTAGTTACAAAAAAAATAAAATGATGGTCAGAGCCTTTTCTCTAAAAACCAGAAAAGCACAGGGAAGAAAAAATGCATTTACGATTAATAAAAGTTCCATATAATATTTGTGTTTACAATTAATAAAAGTTTGAAGAAAGAAATGTTCAGCTTGTGTTGGAGGTAGGAACTGATGAGTGTGCTAAGAAATCCTGTACAACAAGGAAAGTACAGAAAAATTGAGTTCCACCCAGAAGGATATTGCTACAAACCTTGAAATATTTCATTTCAACATTTGTCAATAACCAGAAATTCCATCACTCTTCTCTTACATTCACTCTCATCAGAAAAGTAAAACAGGAAGGAGCCAAAATCTCCCTTTGCAGGGGACAGTAAGGAGCAGGTGGATGTCTACAATTAATTTCATAGTGTAAATCTGGCTAATAATTTCTTACATATATTTTGTTGGGGACTATTTGTTATTCAAAAATATATGACATTAACCATATTATCAATGTGAAAAAATGTAAAATATTATCAAAATTAAACTTCTTAATATGGTCAACCTCATTGGAATTCAGAGCAGTGCTAATTAAAACAAAAATGAGTAATCGTTGAAACCTACCAGGTCACCCAACTCAAAATGTTTAACAATAACAAAATTAGTCCAGGATATAGAGCACCAGAAATTCTCATTAGTTGCAGGAGGAAGGGAAACTTGATACAGCTACTTTGAAAAGCAGTTTCCCATTACCTAGTAAAAATATGGACAAACATCCTGAGTCAGCAAAATACCATCAAGCATATAACATAGAGAAACCCTTGACCTTGTTAACCAAACACATGTACAAGAATGATCATAACAGTAATGCTTGTAATAACAAGAAACCAAAAATAACTGAATTGTATGTCAAAAGGAGAATAGAAGAATAAGTAGTGATATATTCATAAATAGAATAAGGTACAGCAGCAAAAATGAGTGCACTACATCTTACACACTAATGTAGTTGCATCTCAAAAATCATGAGCAATCAAATGTCTCAGAGGAATACTGTATGTATAGTACTGCTTACATTTTAAAGTTCCAAAATGTAGAAAATGAACATCACACATGTTATTAACAAATACACATGTAGTAAACAATAAAGGAAAGGAAATGATAAATCAACATTCAAATTAGCAATTATTACTGGGTTAAAGGATCTGAAATGTACATATGAATGAATACACAGAGACTTTAAAAAACCTTGGTCATATCAGTATCCTATTTCTTAATCACTTTTAAAAATACACAACCAAAAAAAAATAAAAACAGATACACAAACAAGTAAATGAATGAAACCAAAAGTTAAAATACTATCATTTATAAATTTTGTGGCTTTGGTGAAGATTTTCCACCTTCCTACTGAGAAGTGAAGGTGGCTGGGCTTCTGGGTCAGGTGGGGACTTGGAGAACTTTTGTGTCTAGCTAAAGGATTGAAACACACCAATCAGCGCTCTGTGTTTGGCTAAAAGTTTGTAAATGTACCAATTAGCACTCTGTGAAAATGGACCAATCAGCACTTTGTGTCTAGCTAAAGGTTTGTAAATGCACCAATCAGCACTCTGTAAAAACGGACCAATCAGCACTCTGTAAAATGGACTAATCAGCAGGACGTGGGCAGGGCCAAATAAGGGAATAAAAGATGGCCACCAGCGCCAACAGCGGCAACCCACTGGGGTCCCCTTCCACTGTGTGGAAGCTATGTTCTTTTGCTCTTCACAATAAATCTTGCTGCTGCTCACTTTTTGGGTCTGCACTATGTTTATGAGCTGTAACACTCACTGTGAAGGTTTGCAACTTCACTCTTGAAGTCAGCAAGACCATGAACCCTCCAGGAGGAACGAACGACTCCAGACGCACTACCTTTAAGAGCTGTAACACTCACTTCAAAGGTCTGGAGTTTCACTCTTGAAGTCAGCAAGACCATGAACCCACCAGAAGGAAAAAACTCCATACACATCTGAGTATTTGAAGGAACAAACTCCGGACACACCATTTTTAAGAACTATAACACTCACCGTGAGGGTCCACGGCTTCATTCTTAAAGTCAGCAAGACCAAGGACCCACCAGAAGGAACCAATTTTGGACACACTACCTGCAATTATTTATTAATTAAATGGCATTACATGGGAACATACTTTAGAGTCTCTTAGGGTTCTAATATTCTTTGATTCTACATTTCTGTGACATGACACTTTTGGTAAATGTGGGGAATGTATCAACAAATGGCTTATAAGTACAAACATAACCTTTTGTTGTTTTCTTCATTAATTGAGCCTTTCCCTTTATCTGTAAAATAAGTGTGTAATAAAGACACAAAATTCATTCCACTTCTATAAACAGGGATTAAGAAATGTTGCAGCTATTGATTTATGTGTGAGCTAATATAATATCACACTTAAAGATATAAAACATTGTAGTTTTTCATGTAAACGTGAGAAATTTGCAAGTATTATGCTTCAAAATTTTAAAAGAAGTTATAAAATTATTGTGTTTACAATCAGCTTTTTGCCATGAGAAATAATAACACTTGCTTTATTCTACTCTCATTTAAGTTTACTTTGCTCTCTAGAAGTTATTCTGTACCTTGCTGAAGAGGCTTACTACCAATTTTAAGTCTGTAATGAAAGATGCCTACTCAGAATTTCATAGGTGCGTTAGGTTTCATTCAAAATGAAAACCATAATATACATGGGTTTAAAAAGCCAATTATTGGAATGAATCAGTTCTTTATCTTGGAGGGGCAGCTAATATTTCAAATAGAGGATGAACGTATTTTTTTAAAACTACCTTTCCTCATAAAGTCTTTTTGGCACTGAAGTTGAAAATATTCAATTCTGAATCCATACATGGCACATAATTCCTGTGCATAGCAGAAAAATATGCCACTAATCAGCAAAGAATATATGTGAGTATTAGTCAAATATTCCCTTTGCTTATTAAAGAAAAGACAGTTTTATTTGATAAATGACATTAGGAATTGAAAGGAAAGCCTGAATGCATAAAAGCCTGTAAAAATATGTATTTTTATGCTCATGATAGAATAAAACGCTGCCAAAATTCATGTCAATCCTGTTAGTTTGAGCCTCTTTTTCTATGTACTACCATGGATTTTAGTTAATAACAGTGGTAAGGCCACAATTGCTACTCTAATCAAGGAAAAATGTGCAAGTCGTGGCCAAATAAAAAAATAAATTGCTTTATGGAATTCCATAACTGACATATTCATAGGGTCCTTGGCCAAAACCAATTTTATAGGGAGAGTTCCTTTTTCTCTCTCTCAAAAATAAAATATTCTACTTTAAAATTTAAAGCACCTGTAAGACCTATTGACCAAGATCCTGGCTGCCTTCAGGAGCTGGTGTTGAGTGTCTGTGGCTTTTCCAGGTGCACCATGCAAGCAATTGGTGGATCTACCATTCTTGGGTCAGGAGAATGGTGATTCTCTTCTCACAGCTCCACTAGACAGTGCTGCAAGTGGGGGAACATGTGTGAGGGCTCTGACCCCACACTTACCTTCAGCAGTGCCCTAGCAGAGGTTCTCCATGAGGGTTCTGCCCCTGAAGCACACCTCTGAAATCTAGGCAGTGGTTCCCTTACCTCAGTTCTTGACTTCTATGCACCCACAGGCTCAACACCACATGGAAGCTGCCAAGGCTTAGGACTTGAATCCTCCGAAGCCATGGCCCTAGCTGTACCTTGAACCATTTTACCCACAGGTGGAGCAGCAGAGACACAGGGCACCAAGTCTCCAGGCTACACACAGCCCCAGGTTTCACACAGCAGGGGGGTCCTAGGCCCCACCCATGAAACCATTTTTTCTTCCTAGGCCTCCAGGCCTGTGATTGGAGTGGCTGCTGCAAAGGTCTCTGACGTGCCCAGGAAACATTTTCCTAATTGTCTTGGTAATTAACATCCAGCTCCTTGTTAGTTATGCAAATTTCTGCAGCAGGCTTGAATTTCTCCCCAGAAAATTGGTTTCTTTTCTATCGCATTGTCAGACTCTAAATTTTTCAAACTTCTATGCTCTGCTTCCTCTTAAATGCTTTGTTGCTTAGAAATTTCTTTCACAAGATACCCCCAAATCATCTCTCTCAAGTTCAAAATTCCACAGATCTCTAGGGCAGGGGCAAAATGCCTCCAGTAACTTTACTAAAGCATAACAAGAGTCACCTTTGCTCCAGTTCCCAACAAGTTCCTCATCCCCATCTGAAAACACCTCAGCCTGGATTTTATTGACCATATCACTATCAGCATTTTGGTCGGAGCCATTCAAGAAGTCTCTAGGAAGTTCCAAGCTTTCTCACATTTTCCTTTCATCTTCTGAGCCCTCTAAACCTTTCCAACCTCTGCCTGTTACCCAGTTCTGTAGTGGCTTCTCCATTTGTGGGTGTCTTTACAGCAGCCCTCCACTACCCATTACTAATTTACTGTATTAGTCCATTCTCATGCTGCTAATAAAGACATACCTGAGGCTGGGTAATTTATAAAGAAAAGAGGTTTAATTGTCTCACAGTTAAGCATGGCCTAGGAGGCCTCAGGAAACTTACAGTCATGGCAGAAGAGGAAGCAAATATGTCCTTCTTCACATGGCAGCAGAAGAGAGAAGTGCAGGGGAACCACCCTTTTTAAAACGATCAGATCTTGTGAGACTTACGCACTATCACGAGAACACCACGAAAAAAACTTGCCCCCGTGATTCAGTTACCTCCCATTGGGTCTCTCCCACAACATGTGGGGATTCTTAGAGCTGCAATTCAAGATGAGATTTGGGTGGGGACACAGCCAAACCATATCACACAGCACTATATATATATATAGTTTCTATATGTGTGTATATATACATATATATAATTTTAAAAATAATTTTGGAAAAACATAGTCATTCACAGTTTACATATGAGGCAACTAGGGTGGCTATAGTTGAAGTTTCATAGCCAGCAAATGGCAGAGCTCAGGCATGCTTTCCGTTTCCGAAATATATTTGTATATAGTTGCCAAACTTTAAATATACTGTGTTTTCTATCCAGCCTGATTGATTAAAACTGTCTCAAGCTCCAAGAATTTTTTTTAAGAAAGGAAGGTAATTATTTTTTGGAACATAAGATGTGTGGAACTATGTTATACATATAACACAATTAAAATGTAGCCATTTCTTTCTAATCTGTTTTCTGAGCTCCCTACCTTGCATAGAAACTTTAAATTTGAGAATCTCAGCATTTGTAGGTTATTATTGTCTCCACTGAATGATTGATTTTTTTCAGGTACATATGCAGACATTTCATGTTCAACTTCAACTTATTACCCTGGATGGTACTGGATGCCAGAGAAAGTGTATGAGTCTATGTGTGCTGGAAAGAGGTGGTGGGATTTACATACATTATTCTTTAACCATGGGTAGTTAAGCAGGTGTCCTTGACAGAAATCTCTAATCATCATCCTTCTTTCTATGTCTTTTTGACATAACGTAATCTATGACTAGACTTCTGCCACACTGCTGCTCCTGGTCATCAGAGAAGATCCTCTTTATATTTGTGTGAAATAGAAGTTCAATGTACACATCTCAAATCTCTCAAGCGGGTACACAGGTGCACATGAATTCCTGCACACAGGATCTGGAAAGCCAGAAACGTATGTCTAATCACCTTACACCTTTCTTATCTCACATGGCCACATGAAGGGCTTCACCTAGAATCATAGTTCTCAAATTTGGGTGAAAATTAGAATCATCGAGGAGGCATAATAAACTATCAATTCTGGTAGCTACTTTCCAAGACTAATTCAATCAGATTCTTCATTCAAAAAAAATTAAGTCATACTATCAAGGGATGAAGCATAACATTGATACTTTTCAATAGTGCTCAGCTAATGTTAATGTACAGCAAGGAGCACGCTCCTAGATGAGAAGCCCGCCATGGCCTGCTTCCAGGAATGATTATCCTAGTCTTTCTAGGTGTGGCAGTTGTAGATTTCTCATACTCCTATATTATTTAACTGTAGCATATGCCTCCTTTCTCTGCTTTACCACAGATTCCCCCAGGGAATGAAATACAAGAAAGCTTTGACCACTTCACTTCATTTGTTTGATTAAGCATCAGATTTCAGCTTTAGAGATTTCTTTAATAAGAACTATTCGTGGTATTAAAAAAGTGCTATCCATATTAGTCACTTATCAGAACTAGTTAAAAGTCCTATGTAAGCATTTATTCCCAAATAAATCAAGTTAAAAAAATTACAGAAACTCACCCCACAGTTAAAGTTTTTTTCTTCTAAAGAAAACTTAATCCCAGGCTCACCCTGAGTAAATTATAATACAATAAATGCAAAGGAATAAGATGATGAAAAAAAGTAATAATGTGATTACTTGTCCACTTAATAAAATAAAATAAATAAATTATACATAAATAGAAGTGACGCAGCAAGAATATGGACTACAAAGCTCCAGACCCTTCTTTCGTGGAAGAGATACTGAATTAGTAACCATATACTGACTAGAATACCTCCATTTATACTCTAGAAACTAGTTGAGAAGTTACAGTACCCAGGTCAATGTAAAAACAAAAAGGATTCCAGAGAAAGAGGTAGAAAATTTGCAGTGTTTTGAAGGCATGCCCGTGTTCTTCCCCACATACAGCACAGCATATACAACTGGAAAGAAACTTCCCAAGCTTGGGCTCTTCCCTAGGGTTAAAAACAAAATAGTGAAGAATTCCTCTTCAGTCTTTTGTTCATTCATTCTTTTGCCCCTATCTTCGGTTAGACACAAAAGAGGAGGCATGTATATCTTGGGAATTTTAGAATTTGAGAAATAGAAAAGGAGACATTACCACTTCTTATTTGAGAGAGAGCTTATTTGAGAAAAAATGACCTCAAGCTCCCTAAATTTGAGGAATTAAATGGACATAAAAAATAGAAAAGCTGAAAGAACTCTAGGACATATGCAAGGAAAACCACACTCAGATATTGTAATAAAACTGTCTATAGTAAAAAAAAAAAATTGAAATCAACAAAGAAAAAAGCCATCACATACAAGAAAATTTACATACAAGAATCAGTGAATTTTTTAGCAGAAATCTTGCAGGCCAGAAGGAAGTAGAAGATATATTAAGGTGCTGAAACAACAACAATCCCTATCATCCAAGAATCTTGTATCCAGTAAAACTGGTCTTTTAAAGTGAAAGAGGATTTAAGACTTTCCTCAATAAATAAAAGTTGAGAAAGTGCCCTTCACTAAATCTTCTCTACAGAAATACTGACGGAAATCCTCCAAGTTGAAATGAAGAAATGCTAGAAAGCAACACAAAGCCAAAAGGAAATTTAAAGTTCAAGAGTAAAAGTAAATATAAGAACAAACTTAGTAGCCTGTACAATTTCAATATCAATTCATAAAATTTTAATGACAAAAACTGTAAATCTATGCTAGTTGGAAAACACAAACAAAGAATTTGTGGCACTAATAACATAATGTGTGGGATGGAGCTGTGAAGTAGAGTTTTTGTATGAAATTGAATTGCAATTGCTATTAGTTTAAAAGAGAATGGTGTAACTTTAGGATCTTTTGTGTAATTTTAATGGTAATCTCAAAGAAAATATCTACAGAATATATGCAAATAAAAATGAGAAGAGAATCAAAGATTTTCACTATAAAAAGTTATTAATACACAAAAGATGACAGTTAAAGAGTCCAGAGAAACTAAAGCTAAAAGAAATACAGTAAATAATTAACAAAACGGCCTTTGCCTATCAGTAATTCCTTTATTTTATTAAGTATTTTTATTTTTATTTTTTTGAGAAAGAGTCTCACTCTGTCACCCAGGCTGGAGTGCAGTGGCATGATCTCAGCTCACTGCAACCTCCGTCCCTGGGTTCAAGTGATTCTTGAGCCTCAGCCTCCCAAGCTGCTGGAACTATAGGTATGCACCACCCTGCCCGGCTAATTTTTGTATTGTTAGTAGAGATGGGATTTCACCATGTTGGCCAGACTGGTCTTGAACTCCTGACCTTAAGTGATCCACCCACTTCGGCCTCCCAAAGTGCTGGGACTACAAGTGTGAGCCACCACGCCCAGCCTATCAGTAATTATTTTAAATATAAATAAATTAAATTTCCCATTCAAAACACATAGATTGACTGAATTATTTTTTAAGGATGTAACCCTAAGGCCTTCTCTAGAGAGATTAATTTTAGTTCTAAAAATAAACATAGGCTGGAAGTCATAGGATTTTTTTTAAAAAGGCATTCTGTGGTAAATGGCAACAAAAACACAATAAAGGTAGCTATGCAGTTTTTAGACAGAACAGACTTTGAGTGAAAAAATGTTATAATAGAAAAAAAGAGCATTACACAATGAAAAAAATAGTCCACTTAAAAGCTGTAACAGTTATAAATACTTATGCACCAAAATACAGAGCTCCTAAACATATGAAGCAAACATTGAGAGAATTGAAGACAGAAGTAGAAAGCAACACAGTAAGAATAGGATACTTTACTACTCCACTTTTAATAATAAATATAACAACCAAACAGAATATCAGTAAGAAAAGAGGGCTTGAACAACAATGTAGATCAATTGGACCTTACAGACATATATAGGATATTTTACCCAACAATAGCAATGGTACTTCTTAAGTACACATGAAACATTATTCAGTATCAACCAAATATTAGGCCACTGCTGTAATCTGAATATTTGTTCTTCCATAGCTCATGTTAAAATTTAACTGACATTGTAACTGTATTAAAAGGTGGGAACTTTGGGAAGTGATGGGTCATGATGGCCCCACCCACATAGGTAGGATTATTGCTGTCATCAGAGAATGAGTTTATCCTCCTTTTATCTTTTTGCCCTTCTCCTTTTGCATCATGTGATGACACAGCAAAAAGGCCCTCACCAAATATTGGTGCTTTGCTATTGAAATTCTCAACCTCCAGATCTTTGATCCCATAAATTTCTGTTGATTGTAAATATTATTTCCTGTGGTATTACATTAAAGCAGTACAAAACAAAATAGGACATCCACAAAAGAAGTCTCGACAATTTGAAAAAGGTTAAAATCATGCAAAAATTTTTTCAGATCACAATGAAATAAAGCTAAAAATTTGCAGCAAGAGAAAAACTGGAAAAATCCACAGATATATGGAAATTATGAAACACATTCTTAAAAATCAATGAACCAAAGAAATCATAGCAAAAAGAAAAAGAAAACCCTGAAACAAATAAAAACAGAACTATAACATAACAAAACTTATGGATCACAGCAAAAACAATACTAAGAGGGAGGTTTATAGTTGTAAGAGGGTTTAACAAAAAACAGAAAGATCTCACACCAACAACCTAACTGTACACCTCAAGAAACTAGAAAATAAAGAACAAACTACACCCATAGCTAGCAGAGTAAGTGAAATAAAAAATAGAGAGATAAATAAAGAGGAAAAACCATAGAAAAAAAATGAAACTAAAAGTTAGTTTTTAGAAAAATCTATAAAACTTACAAATTCTTATCTGGATTCACTGAAAAAATTAGACAAGATTCAATGAACTAAAATTAGAAAATGGAGGAGAAAACATTGCAATCATAACAAAGAAATAAATTATGAGAGTATTATGAACAATTGTACTTCAACAAACTGATGACGAAGATGAAATCAACAAATTTCTAGAAACACACAACATACCAAAGTTGAACCAGACCAATAAATAGTAATAAAATTACTCATAATTTACAAACTTCCACACAAAGAAAAGTCCAGGAGCTGATGACTTCACTGGAAAACTCTACCAAATATTTCCTCTACCAATTACCAGACACTTATCACAGAATACTTAATACCAATCTTCCTGAATTCTTTCAAAAAATTAAAAAGGATCAATACTTTCAAACTCCTACTATGAAGCTAACATAACCCTGATACCAAAGCCAGACAAAGATAGAAAAGAAAACTATAGATAAATATAATTGATCAATATTGGTACAAAAATTCTCAATAAAATACTGGCAAACTAAATTCAACAGCATATGAAAAGGATTATAAACCATGACTAAGAAGGCTTTATTCCTAAAATACAAAGATGGTTCAACATACCAGTCAATGTAATATACCATGTTAACATAATCATGGATAAAAGCCATATGATAATCTCAATTTATTTATTTATTTTATTTATTTATTTTTTTTTTTGCAGTTGCAAGATTTAATAGAGTGAAATAGAGTAAAAACAGGGCTCACATACAAGGAGGGAACCCAAAGGGGGTTGCCGTTGCCTGCTTGAATGGCTGGGTTTATATCCGGATCATTGTCCCTCCCACTGTGCTCTCAGGCAACAGATGATTGGCTATTTCTTTACCTCCTGTTTTTGCCTAATTAGCATTTTAGTGAGCTGTCCTTACTATCTGATTGGTCGGGTGTGAGCTAAGTTGCAAGCCCCATGTTTAAAGGTGGAAGTGGTCACCTTCCCAGCTAGGCTTAGGGATTCTTAGCCTACGAAATCCAGCTAGTCCTGTCTCTCAGTATCCCCTCTCAACAGGAAAACCCAAGTGCTGTTGGGGAGGTTGGCCAAAGACCGCTCTAACTGCTTCCTGCTGAACTGGGGCATAGTAGCGTTCGTGCAGTTGAGATTTCCTCTGGAGGGGTGTCTTTGATGTCATTAACATTGGAGCATGGGCTAGCAGGCCGGTCCAGGGGTACGTGGTAGATCTTAGTCATGGACTGCATCTGGGGCTCCACTTGAAGAATGATTTGTAGTTGTACAACTTTGATTCTGGAAGAGGCAAACTTAACAAGGAGGTTAAAGATACAGGGATTGAAATGTATGCCCTGCAGTGCAGGGTATTACTTCTTTGGCACACTTTACAGGCCCTGACTATCTGCTTGATAGTTTTGAAAAGGCCTGGTCCAGTAAATAATAATTTGGCCATCTGATGGGTGCTATCCATGCCTAAGTGAAAGGTTTGGTGAAGGGTTTTAAGTAATTTCATTTGGTTAGCTGCAGGCAAAAATATTTTTCCTTCTTTCGTGGCTAGCCATCTGGAGGGGAGGAAACTATGTCTTCATGAGGTTCCTCATTCTATTTCTTCTCCTGAGTATTGGGGCTTGGTTTCCTGGAGGGGATTACCCCATACTAAGGGTCCTTCTGTAAGCATTTCTAATGGAGGGTCCTGCCTTGCGGCTCTTTTGTCTTCAATATCCGCTTGGCGGTTCCCTTCTATTTCCCTTTCCTTTCCTTTCCGATGACCCCAGCAGTGTAAGACTGCCACCTCTTTAGGTTTCTGTACAGCCAATAATAATCTCCTAATGGCTTCCTGATATTTGATAGGTGTTCCTTTGGAAGTTAGGAATTCCCTTTCTTTCTATATTGCTGCATGGGCATTGAGGACTAGGTAAGCATACTTAGAGTCTGTATGTATATTTACCCTTTTCACTTCTCCTAATTCTAGTGCCCGAGTTAGGGCTATTAGTTTTGCCAGCTGAGCGCTAGTTCCTGGAGTGAGTGGCTTACTTTCAAGTATTCCATTATCACTGACCACTGCATACCCTGCTTTTCGAAGTCCTTTTTCTACAAAGGAACTTCCATCAGTATAAAAGTTAAGGTTGGGATCAGTCAAGGGAACCTCTAAAAGGTCCCTTCAAGTGGCATAGGTTTGAGCAATTACTTGTTGACAGTTACGTTCTATCTTTTCTTCATTTTCTGGAAGAAATGTGGCTGGGTTAAGAGTTGCACAAGTGTGCAGTCGCAGCACTGGCCCTTCAAGTAATACAGCCTGATATTGAAGTAAATGGTTGTCTGACAGCCACAAGTCTCCTTTAGTAGTGAGTATGCCGTTCACATCATGAGATGTCCACACATTAAGATCCCTTTCCTGTATTATTTAACTGTTCAGATACTAAGACTGCTACTGCCGCCTCTACCGGCAAACAATGAGGACAACCCTTTGCTGCTACATCTATTTCCTTACTCAGGTATGCCACAGGTTGCAAGCTTATCCTTGGGACCTGTGTAAGGACTCCTAGAGCTATTCCTTTTTTTTCTGTGACATATAAAGAAAAGTCTTGCCCCGTTGGCAAGCTTAACACTGGGGCCTGGGTTAGGGCCTTCTTTAGGGCCTGGAAAGCCGCTTCTGCCTCAGGTGTCCATCTTACTAAATGGGTATTGGCTTTCGGAGTTTCCTTAATTAGTGTATATAATGGTCTGGCTATTTTGCCGTACCTGGGAATCCATATTCCTCAGAAACCTGTTATGCCAAGGAATCTTCTTAGTTGCTTTAGGGTTTTGCGATGAGGATAAGCCAGTATAGGTTGGATACATTCTTCACTGAGGGCCCTGGTCCCTTTGGATAATTTTAGCCCTAGGCATTTAACCTGCTGTGAGCAGAGCTGAGCCTTTGGTTTGGAAACCTGTAGCCACAGGTAGCGAGGAAATTTAAGAGTGCTGGGGTGGCTTGATGGCACAAGGTTTCTGAACAGGTGGCTAAAATTAAATCATCCCCATACTGGAGGACAAGAATGTCCAGGTATGAGAACTGGCTCAAGTGTTGGTCTAATGCCTGGCCAAATAGGTGGGGGCTATCCTTGAACCCTTGGGGTAAAACAGTCCAGGTGAGTTGAGACGTCGGGTTCGAAGGATCTTTAAAGACAAACAAGAATTGAGAGTCAGGATGTACAGGGATGCAGAAAAAGGCATCCTTAAGGCCCAGGACTGAAAACCACTCTGCTTCCTCTGGTATTTGGGCAAGCAGAGTATAAGGGCTAGGTACAGCTGGGTATAGAGGAACAACAGCCTCGTTGATAATCTTGAGATCTTGTGCTAACCTCTACTATCCATTGGGTTTCTGTACTCATAAAATTGGAGTATTGCAGGGGCTACTGCATGCTTTTACTAGGTCTTGGGCTTTTAGGTCCTTAACAATCTTTTGGAGTCCTTGTTGGGCCTCAGGTCTGAGCGGGTACTGCGTTTGGTAGGGAAAGGGGGCAGAATCCTTTAGTTTAACTTGAACAGGATGGGCTTTCTTTGCTCATCTATATTGTCCTTCTGTTGCCTAGACTTTAGGATTAATTCCTTCCTCAAGCAGGGGACAACAAATGGGTGTTCCTTCTCCTATGTTCAGATGTATAATGGCCCCTGGTTTTGCTAGAATGTCTCTCCCTAACAAGGGAGTGGGGCTTTCAGGCATAATTAGAAAGGCATGTGAATAGAGTAAAGTTCTCCCTTCACAACTTAGTGGCTGGGAGAAGTATCTAGTGACTGGCTGTCCTAAGACCCCTCGGATAGTGACAGATCTATCTGTCCAGGACAGGAGAGTAAGACTGAGAAGGCCATGCCAGTGTCCAAGAGACAATTAACCTCCTGGCCCTCAATGGTCAAGCATACCCGGGGCTCTGTGAGGGTGATGGCATGGGCTGGCGCTTGCCCTGGGCACCCTCAGTCCTGCTGCTGGATCATCTGGTTAGTGGCTTCTGACTCAGAGGACCTTCGTCCCTTGGGACAATGGGCCTTCCAGTGATTCCATTGACATAAGGGGCATGGACGAGGGGGCGGCTTATTTCTACTTGAACAATCTTTTTTGAAGTGTCCTTGTAGACCACACTGGAAACAAGCCCTATTAGGCATTTGATTTTCCCAGGTTTTCCCTTTTCCAGAGCCTCCAAAGTCCACTTGCCTGAGGGCCATGACTAAAGCGGTGGCCTTTTTTTTTTTTAATCCCATTTGTCCTGTTCCATCTACTCCTCCTGATCTCTATTATAAAAAGCCGAGGTTGCCAAGTTCAATAGGTTTCTAAGTTTTGCTCCAGGCCTAAGGCAGATTTTTGAAGTTTTTTTTTCTAATGTCTGCTGCTGACTGAGTGATAAACTTATCCTTTAAGATTAGTTGTCCTTCAATAGAGTCAGGTGACAGAGAGGTATGCTTCCTCAGTGCCTCCCTTAGTCTCTTCAGAAAGGCAATAGGATTTTCTTCCTTTCCCTGTGTTATAATGGATATCATTGAATAATTCATAGTCTTCCTAGTTTTCCTTAGTCCTTTTAGCATGCAAGTTAGCAAATGTCTGTGGAACCAATCTCCATGTTCTGAATCTGTGTCCCAGTGAGGGTCTACACTGGGAACTGCCTGCTGGCCTGTGGGGAATCATTCTCTTTCATCTGTTGTCATCCTATCATTGACCTGGCTGAGATACCAGAGATCGCCAAACTCTCGGGCTGCAGTTTTGGCGACACTTCTCTCATTTGGGGTTAGTGTCTGATTTAGCAGTAACATTATATCTCTCTATGTCAGATCAAAGGATTGTCCTAACCCTTGTAAAACATCAATATAGCCATCAGAGTTATCTGAGAATTTACCTAGGTCTATTTTAATTTGCTTCAAGTCTGAGAGAGAAAAAGTTACATGCACTCTGGCTGGGCCAAATTCTCCTCTTCCCACTGCTTGAAGGGGGCATAATCGGGGAATATTGGCACTGTCTGATTCATTGTTTATCCCTTTGTCTTTCACCTTTGGACCATTTGGGTAAAAGGGGCGTCCTTATTAGTTGGGGAAGGAGTCGGGGGGACACTGGGATAGGGAGGTAGACTCTGAGGGCTTCCTGTAGGGCATAAACCACACTTTTTACATAATTGGGAGTTGTCTCTTAATGAAAAGAAAGTTTGCACATATGGCACTTCACTCCATTTGCCCTCCTTTCTAAAGAAGAGGTCTAGCTGTAAGATGGTGTTATAATTTATACTTCCCTCAGGAGGCCAGGTTTCTCCCCCTTGAAGAGGACATCATGGCCAGGCAGTACTGCAGAAGAATACAAGTCATTTCTTTCTTAGGGTCTGAGGGTCAAATTGGTCCTAATTCTCCAGAATACATCTTAGGGGTGTTTTTGCCTTGGGATGGGGGGAACGTTTCCCATCTGAAAAAAGAACATAGGGGTGCCAGCACCCCTAGTCATTTTCCGATGAGCATTAGTCCTAGCGCGTCCTCTAAGGGCCCAATGCTTATTCTTTTCCAGGGTGCGTAACCACCCATGGACCTCTGCTTATTGAATTAGTTATGCTCACCAATGTAGCAGTCCTGCACCTGTTTTCCCACCTCTCTTGACCACAAAGAAAGGGGTCCAGGCTGCTGGATTCTAGTGGTCCTTTACCAGCGTGCCCAACATTGCCTTTGCGTTCAGGGGTGAGTCCTAGAGCTGGGCTGGATTCCTATTTCATAACAACCCAGCTGCCCCATCAAGATGCATTTCCATAAAAGCAATTCTTAGGCAAATTCATTTCAGAGAGGGTGCAGGTATCCTTTTGAGTCAGGATCGAGATAGTCTTTTTGATTCTGTAAGTACTTTAAGGCTTGGCTGAATGCAAACAGCTTGCACGTTTGAGAAGACCAGTTATTAGGCAATTTTTCTAACTCTGCTTCCACAGGAGTCTCCGTATCACTGAATACCCATTGTGGTTTTTTCCTCAATCACCTGGGAGGAACCATCTATCCTCCTGTCCTGAAGGGAGTTCCTCCTAGGTCTGGTCGGACTTTTGTGTGGTAATTAAGATTTAAATCCCTTGATAGGAAATCTGCTGGGTTAAGGGAATTATCAGTGGTTGGAGTTACATTACGCTTTTCTAACATAGTAGCCCCATACTTTAAGATTTTTGAGTTAGTAAGCTACTTTTTGCTTTTTTTGACTTAGAATAACTCTGAACTGGTGAGGTGTGCTCACAACGCGGTTTCCTCTAAAAGTTACTTTTCTACTTTTAGCAAAGCAGTTGCCACTACCGACTGAATGCATTTGGCCCATCCTGGGTTACTGGGTTAAGGATTTGCTATGCCGTTATTTACACTGACAACAAAGTGGCAATTATTAATTACAGGTTTTAAATTTACCCCAGCTTTTAAAGGAATATACTCAATTTATACAGAGTATTTGAAAAAAAAGTCGATACACTTTTATAATAAAAACCCCCAACAAACTAGGAATAGAAGGAAACTACTGAAAAATAATACAGCCAAATATGAATATTTTATAGTGAATATTATAGTCAATGGGGAAAGACTGAAATCCTTTCCTGTAAGATGAGGAACAAGACAAGGATTCCTACCCTCACCACTTCTATTCAATATAGTACTGGAAACCTTACCAAGAGCAATTAGACAAGAAGAAAAAAAATCAAAGTCATCCACATTGGAAAGGAAAAAGCCAAATTATCTCTGTCCACAGATGATATTATCTTATATATAGAAAATCTTAAAGATTCTACATTAAAAAAATTAAAATTAATAAATGAGTTCAAGACACTAGCAGGATAAAAAGACAACACACAAAAGTCAATTGCAATTTTTTCACTTTCAACTTTTATTTTAAAATCAGGGGGTATTAGTTATGAAGGGATTAGTTATGAAGGGATATTGTGTGATGCTGAGATATAGCATATGAATGAATCCATCATACAGATAGCATAGTACAAATGGGTAGTTTTTTTCAACTCTTACCCTGTCTCCCTCTCCTCTTTCATAATCCCCAGTGCCTATTGTTCCCATAAAAGTATTTTTCTCTTAATTTTCTTCTCAGATTATTCGTTGTAACTGTATAGAAATGCAATTCAGTACACAGGGTAATTTGCATTTTATACACAATCAATGAACAATCTGAAAAGAAAATTAAGAAAACAATTACATTTACAACAGCATATAAAAAAAGAAAATACTTTGAAATAAACCTAACCAAAGAGGTGAAAGAATTTTACAAAAAAACTTTTAAACATTGTTAAAAGATATTTTTAAAGTCACAAATAAAAAAGGATGTTATATTAGTAGATTGGAAGAAAATATTATTAAAATGTTTATACTACCCAAAGCAATCTTCAGGTTTAATAAAACTGTATCAAAATTCTAACTGAATTTTTTGAAGAAATTAAAATATTCTAAAATTTATATGAAATCTCATGAGATTCTAAACAACAAAATTTAAAAAAAAGCTGAAAGACTCATGCATTCTGATTTCAAATATGTTACAAAGCCACAGTAATAAAACCAACATGGCAGTGGCATAAAGACAGACAAATAGACCAATGCAATACAATACAGAGCCCAAGAGTTAGTATTAGTATCCATATACAGCATTATAAGTGCTGCCAACTTTTCTTAAATGGGAATGGCATATATGTCTACTCTATCTTGATAAGCTTACTGCCTAATTATAAGGAAACCTGTCAAGGTCAGCCATAGAGAACAAGTGCCTTAAATAATCCCATAAGAATTTTCTGCCAATACTCTTTAAAAGGGACAAATCCAGAGCTCTATTTGAGCCACAAATGGGCTGTTCTTCCCTAAAGGCCTTAAATCAGAATCTCATAGAATGTGATAGTTGATATTCCCAGATATGGGCTACCACATGAACGATTAGGAAGGTATGTGTTAGGTAGGAAAGCTTGTATCTAGAGAGATCTGCATTAAAAGCTGTCCTTATATATCCCCTGCTGGGAGTCAGAATTTGTCCTCGGGGAAAAGAAAAATAATTAGTCCTGGAAATAACAAATGCTGGAGGGAATATGGAGAAAAATAATCTCTTTTATATTGTTGGCAGGAATATAAGTTAGTACAACCACTGTGGAGAACAGTTTAAGATAGAACTACTATTTGATCTAGCAATCCCACTGTTAGGTATATATACACTCAAAGAAAGGAAATCAGGATATTAAAGAGATATTTGAACCCCCACATTTATTGCAGCTTTCTTTGCAGTAGCCAAAATTTGAAGCAACCTAAGTGTCCATCAACAGATGAATTGATAAAGAAAATGTGGTACATATACATAATGGAGTAGCGTACAGCCATAAAAAAGAATGACATTACTTATTTTTAGAATTTAAATTAAAATGATTGAACTTACGAAGATAAGAGTAGAAGAATGGTAACAGCAACTGAGAAGGGTATTGGTGGGGAGAGGAGAAGTGGAGATAGTTAATGGGTACAAAAAAGTTAGAAAGAATAAATAATACCTAACAATTGATAACACACAGAGTGACTATAGTCAATAATAATTAAGTTATCCATTTTAAAATAACTAAAAGTATAATTAGATTATTTGTACATGAAAGATATATACTGGAGGGGATGGATACCTCATTTACCATGAGGTGATTAATATGTATTGCATGCCAGTATTAAAATATTTAATGTACCCCACAAGTATATATTTGTGTATACCTACTGTGTACCCACAAACATTAAAAATTAAAGAAGAATACAGATTCCAGAAATAAACTGTCTTGTATAGTCAAATGATCTTTAATATTTAACTATTAAATATCAAGATATTTAACTTCAAGATATCTAATATCAAGATATCATATATCAAAACCATACAATGTGGAAAGAATAATCTCTTCATCAAAAGGTATTGGAAAAATTGGATTTGCCCATGCAAAATAATTGTTAGACCCTAATTTTATAACATACACAAAAATTAAGATGAATAAAACACGTATATGTAAAAGCACAAATCATACAAAACCTGGAAGAAAATATAAGAAAGATGCTTTAGAACATAGGACTTGGCAATGATTTCTTGGATATGACAAAAGTATAGGTGACAAAGGCAGAAATAGACAAATAAGACATAACAAGCTTACAAGCTTACTAAAAAACTTTTGTGCATCAAAAGAAAAATCCACAATGAAAAGGCAATCTACACAATAGGAGAAAATATTTACAAAGCATATACATATAATAAGATGTTAACACCCAGAATATGTAAAGAACTCCTACAGCTCAACTATAAATATATAGTTGCTATATAGTTATATATAGATATGTATATACGTCCACGTATACTTATTTTATATGTGTATAAATGTATACTTACGTATATATGTATATACACGTATACTTATGTATATACATATATGTATTCATATATGTATATACACGTATACTTATGTATATACATATATGTATTCATATATGTATATACACATATACTTATGTATATACATATATGTATTAATATATGTATATACACACATACACATCTATATACACATATGTATTCATATATGTATATACACACATACACATCTATATACACATATGTATTCATATATGTATCTACACATATACACATGTATCTACATATATGTATTCATATATGTACATAAGTATATATGTATATACATATATGTACATAAGTATATATGTATACATGGGTGTATATACATATGTATATGTATATACATATATGTACATAAGTATATATGTATATACATATATGTACATATGTATATGTGTATATACATATATGTACATATGTATATGTGTATACATGTGTGTATATACATATGTATATGTGTATACATGTGTGTATATACATATGTATATGTGTATACATGTGTGTATATACATATGTATATGTGTATACATGTGTGTATATACATATGTATATGTGTATACATGTGTGTATATACATATGTATATGTGTATACATGTGTGTATATACATATGTATATGTGTATACATGTGTGTATATACATATGTATATGTGTATACATGTGTGTATATACATATGTATATGTGTATACATGTGTGTATATACATATGTATATGTGTATACATGTGTGTACATAAGTATATGTGTATACATGTGTGTATATACATATGTATATGTGTATACATATATGTACATAAGTATATATGTATACATGTGTATATACATATGTATATGTATATACATATGTATATGTATATACATATGTATATGTATATACATATATGTACATAAGTATATATGTATACATGTGTGTATATACATATGTATAGACACATATACATATGTACATAATATATTTTTTGAGATGGAGTCTTCTTGCTCTGTTGCCCAGGCTGGAGTGCAGTGGCGCCATCTTAGCTCACTGCAAGCTCCACCTCCCAGGTTCAGGCCATTCTCCTGCCTCAGCCTCCCAAGTAGCTGGGACTACAGGTGCCCGCCACCATGCCTGGCTAATTTTTGTATTTTTAGTAGAGATGGGGTTTCACCGTGTTAGCCAGGATGGTCTTGATCTCCTGACCTCGTGATCCGCCTGCCTCAGCCTCCCAAAGTGCTGGGATTACAGGCATGAGCCAACGCACCCGGTTCCATATGTACATATTTATGTATATTACATACATATGTATATAAATATGTACGTATATATGTATATGTGTATATACATATAAATTAGCAAAGGTCTTGAAAATATATTTTTCAAAGAAGGAATAAAAAAGGTATAAAAATGGCCAACAAGCATATGAAAATATACTCAGCATCAGTAATCATCAGAGAAATGTAAATCAAAACATTAATGAAGATTGGAAACAGAACAGAAAGCAGAACAGAAGCCTCCACCAATCATTCCCCAAGAAGAACACCAATTTAACAACTATCTACACACACAAAAATTCATAAGAACAAAAAATAAGGTGAGCCCTCATATGGTACCTTCTTTTGACTACATAACATTGAAAGAGGCACCGAAGGGATTAAAAAAAAAAGTATTGAATCCCAAAGCCACTCCTCCCACGCCATCCATCAGCAGAAATTGCTGCAGGGAGCATCTCAAGGTACTGAGGGAGGAAGAGCATGGCAATTGGGAGTGCTGTCCTGTTACAGCTGAAGGAAAATCCAGAGCAAACTCAGCTGATGCCAGCCCAGGGAGGGAGCATTTGAAGCAGTCCTAGTCAGAGTGGTATCATGGATCCCAGTTGTCTGAACTTGAGTGTCCGCAAACCTCACAACCAAGGGCTACAGTGCTCTGAGGTATTCTAGGACATAAGTACTGCAACTCTTAAGTGAGTCCTAGGTCTGAACTAGACCCAGAGACAGTGGGATGGTGGGGGTCAGACAACTTACTGAGACACTAGATGGGGCACCAAAGGAGTGCTGGCATCACCCGTCCCCTAACGGCAGGCTACACAGCTTGTGGCTCCAAAAGACAACCCTTCCTTTGCTTGAGGAGAGGTGAGGGAAGAGTGGGGAGGACTTTGTTTTGCATCTTGGATACTGGCTCAGCCACAGCACGATAGGGAATTGGTCAGAGTGGTGAGGCCGTCATTCTGGGTCCTAGAATGGGAACTGGATGTCCAGATGACATTTCTAGACACACTTTGGGCCAGAAAGAAATATGCTGCCTTGAAGAGAAGAACTCACTCCTGACAACATTCATTACCAGCTAACTGAAGAGCCTTTGGGTCCTGAACAACCAGCCGCAATACCCAGGTACTATGTAGAAAGCCTTGGATGAGCCTCTGCGACTTGCTGGCTTCAGGTAAGACAGCACTCACAGTTGCTGTGTTCTCCCTCCCTCAGTACCTTAAAATGCTCCCTGCACCAGACTTCTGCTAATTGATGGTGTGGGTGGAGTAGCTTTGACATTCAAGTACATTGCCAGCTTTGGTGACTAAAAGATGAAACTCCTTCTTGAGAAAAGCAGAGTGACAATAAAGGGGACTTTTGTCTTGCACATTAGGTACAGCATGGCCACAGCAAGGTAGAACACCAAGTGGGCATTTTGGGTACCCAATTACAAGACTCGACTCTTGAATGGCATCTCTGGACTTGCTCTAGGCCAGAGGGAGTTCCACTGCCATGAAGGGTGAGTCCCAAGACAGGCAGCATTCACCACAAGCCGACTTAAAAGACCTTAGGCCTTAAGGGAATATCAGAGTTAGTCTAGCAGAACTTTACATGGTCTCTGGTGGTGATGACTACAAGGTGAGGCTCCTCTGCCTTTAGAAAGTGGAGGGAAGACTGGGAAGGACTATATCTTGTGGTGTGAGTGCTAGCACAGCATCAGTACGATAAAATACCAGATAGACTTTTAAGGTTTTTGAATCTAGTCCCTGACTCCTGGAATGCACCTCTGGACTCACCCAGCGCCTGGGGACCTCACTGCTCTAAATGGAAGGACAAAGGTTTTCCCATGCAGCTGGCTTTGCCACCTGCTGATTGTAGTGCCCCAGGACCTTGAGCAAATATAAGCAGTAAAGAAGAGGCAGAATAAAAGATAGGGGTAGAAAGTTTATTCAAAGGAATAATTAAAGAGAACTTCCCAAACCTAGAGAAATATATCAATATTCAAGTCCAAGAAGGTTATACAACGTCAAGCAAATTTAACCCAGAAAAGACTATCTCAAGGAATCTAATAATCAAACTTTTAGAAATCAAGAATAAAAAAGGATTCTAAAACAGCAAGAGAAATAAATAAATAAATGTACAATGAAGTTCCAATACATCTGGCAACAGACTTTTTATTAGAAACATTTCCAGCCAGGAGAAAGTGGCATGACACACTTAGTGCTGAAGGAAAAGAGAAATTTACTCTAGAATAGTATATCTGGCAAAAATAACCTTCAAGTATAAAGGGGAAATAAATATTTTCCCACACAAACCAAAAGCTAAGGGATTTCACCAACACCAGACCTGTCATACAATAATTGGTAGAGGGAATACTTTAATTAGAAAGAAACAAATGCAAAAGAATGTTAATGAAGAATAATCACCCAAAGTTACAAAACTCACTAGTAATAGTAAATACACAGACAAACACAGAGTATTGCAACACTGTAACTGTAGGGTATAAACTACTCATTCTAACCAGAAAGAACCAATCAAAAATAATAACTACACCAACTTTTCAAGACACAGACAGTACCATAAGATATAAATAGAAACAACAAAAAGTTAAAAAGCAGTGGGGATGAAGTTAAGGCATAGAATTTTTATAGTTTTCTTTTTGTCTTGTTGTCTATGGAAACAATATAAAGTTCTTCTCAGGTTAAAATAATGGATTGTAAGACAGTATTTGCAAGCCTCATAATAACCTCAAACCAAAAAACATACAATGAATACACAAAAAATTAAAAGCAAGAAACTAATTCATATCACCAGAAAAGATCACCATCACTAAAAGAAGACAGGAAGCAAAGCTAGAAGGACGAGAAGACCACCAAAAAAAAAAAAAAAAAACAGAAAACAACAAAATGGCAGGAGTAAATCCTTACTTATCAACAACAACATTGAATATAAATGGACTAAACCTTCCAACAACCAAAATATATAGACTGGCTGAATGGATACAAAAACAAGACCCATTCATCTGTTGCCTACAAGAAACACACTTCACCTATAAAGACACACATAGACTGAAAAAAAAAAAAGACTGGAAAAAGATATTCCATGCCAACGGAAACAAAAAAAGAGAAGAAGTTGCCATACTTTTTACAGACAAAATAGATTTCAAGACAAAAATTGTAAGAAGAGACAAAGAAGGTCACTATATAATGATAAAGGGGTCAATTCAGCAAGAGGATATACCAATTTTAAATATATATATGCACCCAACACTGAAGCACTTAGATACATAAAGAAATCATTATAAGAGCTAGCTGGAGACTTCAACATCCCAGGTTGAATATTGGACAGATCTTCCAGACAGAAGAGCAACAGAGAAAAATCAAACTTAATCTGTATTATAGGCTAAGTGGATCTAATGTTTACAGAACATTTAATTCAATGGCTATAGAACACAAATTATTTTGCTCAGCACATGGATCATGCTCAATGATAGACTATATTTTAGGTCACAAAACAAGTTTTAACACATTCAAAAAATTGAAATAATATCAAGCATCTTCTCTGTTCCGAATGGAATAAACCAAAAAATTAATAACACGAACAACTGTGGAAACTATACAAATATATGGAAATCAAACAATATGTTCCTGAATGACCAGTAAGTCAATGAAGAAATTAAGAAGGAAATTGAAAACTTTCATGCAACAAATGATAATGAAAGCACAGCATTGCAAAACCAATGGGCTATAGCAAAAGCAATACTCACAGGGAAGTTTATAGCTATAAGTGCCTGTATCAAAAAGAAGGAAAGACTTCAGTTAAGTAATCTAATTACGCATCTTAAAGAACTGGAAAAAAAAGATGAAATCGATCCCAAATTTAGTGGAAGAAAAGATATAATAAATATCAGAGCAGAACTAAATGAAATTCAATTGAAGAAAACAATACAAAAATCAATAAAATGAAAAGTTTTTTTTGTTTGTTTATTTGTTTGGAAAAAAAAAAACAAGTAGGCCTTGTACGGTGGCTCACGCCTGTAATCCCAGCACTCTGGGAGGCCGAGGCAGGTGGATCACAATGTCAGGAGGTCAAGACCATCCTGGCCAATATGGTGAAACCCCATCTGTACTAAAAATACAAAAATTAGCTGGGAGTGGTGGCACATGCCTGTAGTTCCAGTTACTCGGGAGGCTGAGGCAGGAGAATCACTTGAACCTGGGAGGCAGAGGTTGCAGTGAGCTGAGATCACGCCACTGCACTCAAGCCTGGGGACAGAGCAAGACTCCATCTCAAAAAAAAAAAAAAAAGTAAAACAAAATGGACAGACTTTTAGCCAGACTAAGAAGAAAAGGGAGAAGATCTAAGTAAATAAAATCAGAAATGAAAAAGAGACATTACAACTAACACTCAAGAAATTCAAAGGATCATTATTGTCTACTATGAATAACTATATACTAAGAAATTGGAAAATCTAGAAAAAATAGGCGAATTCCCAGACGCATACAATTTACCAAAGTTTAACCAGGATGAAATCCAAGACTTGAACAAATAAATTACAGGTAATGAGATTGAAGCCAAAATAAAACATCTGCCAGTAAAGAAAAGCCCAGGACGAGAAATCAAATTCAACAATACATTATAACCCAGATGGGTGGTTTCCAAACTCATGGTACAAGGTCATTACCCTGATACCAAAACCAGACAAAGACACATCACAAAAGGAAAACTACAAGCCAATATCTCTGATGAATATTGATGCAAAAATAGTCAAGAAAAAACTAGCAAATCAAATTCAACAATACATTATAAAGATCATTCACCATGACCAAGTGGGATGGCTTCACTGCTGAGCTCGATCAAACAATTAAAGAAGAACTAATACCAATCCTACTCAAATTATTCTAAAAAATACAGCTGGAAGGATTGTTTCCAAACTCATGGTACAAGGTCATTACCCTGACACCAGAACCAAAGACACATCAAAAAAAGAAAACTACAAGCCAATATCTCCGATGAATATTGATGCAAAAATACTCAACAAAAAACTAGCAAATCAAATTCAACAATACATTATAAAGATCATACACCATGACCAAGTGGGATTTATCTCTGGAATGTAAGAACGGTTCAATATATGCAAATCAGTCAACATGATACATATCAACAGAATGGTGGATAAAAACTGTATGATCATTTCAAGTGTTCCTGAAAAAGCACTTGATAACATTCAACATCCCTTAATGATAAAATACCCTCAAAAAACTGGGGTTCGAAAGAACATACCTCAATATAACAAAATCTATATATGACAGGCCCACATCTAGTACAATATTGAATGGGGAGAAATGGAAAGCCTTTAATGTAAGATCTGAAACACAAGCATGCCCACTTTCACCACTGTTATTCACCATAGTACTAGAAGTCATTAGCCATGTAGAAAAATTAAAAAAAAAAAAGTAATCTGGCTCATGCCTATAATCCCAGCACTTTGGAAGGCCAAGGCAGGTAGACTGCTTGAAACCAGGAGTTTGAGACCAGCCTGGGAAACACGGCAAAACTCAATCTACACACACAAAAAATACAAAAACACAAAAATTTCTCAGGCTTTGTGGTGAATGGCTATAGTCCCAGTTGCTGGGGAGGTTGAGAGGTGGGAGGATCACTTAAATACATGGGGTCAAGGCTGCAGTGAGCCATGTTCATGACACTGCACCCCAGCCTAGGTGATAGAGTGAGACAATGTCTCAAAAAAAATTAATCCAATTTACAATAGCTTCAAATATAATTAAATTAACCAAAGAAGTGAAGGAGTCTTATAATGAAAACTATAAAACACTGATAAAAGGAACTGAAGAGGACACAAGAAAATGGAAAAATATTCCAGGTTCATGAATTGAAAGAATGAATATTAGTAAATGTAAATGCTACCCAAAGGAATTTACAGATTTAATTCAATCCCTATTAAAATACCAATGACATTCTTCACAGAAATAGAAAAAAAATTCTAAAGTTTATATGGAACCAGAAAAGACCCAGAATAGCCAAAGTTATCCCAAGGAAGAAAAACAAAACTGAAGAAATATTACCTGACTTCAAGTTGTACTACAGAGCTTTGGTTGCCTGTGCTTCTGGGTTACTGCTCAAAAATTTTTTGCCAAGACCAATGTCCTGGAGATTTTCTCCAATATTTTCTTGTAGGAATTTCCTAGTTTGAGATCTTAGATTGATTTTTGAGTATGGTAAGAGATAGGGGGGTAGTTTCATTTTTCTGCATATATATATATATACAGTTGAAGGACATAAGGAGTGTACACATACCATTATGCCCATCAATCAGGGCAACTGCTGTTTTCCTAACTTGAACTCTCAGAATGTCAAAGTTTCATCAAAATTCAATTATTATAATATAAAGTTACTGACTACAGTGGTGTTTGCTTTTTACAAAAGTTTTTTTTTTTGGTGAAGAGTGACAGAAGTATCAAAACAATATGTTATTTATTTTGAGTTGATATGAAAAAGGTAAATAGAACCTGGTAAATAAGAAATTCAAATCAAACATTAAAATAAATCTTTATTTTTTTTTTGCTTGATTGTTCCTTCAGCTTCATCATGAAATGCCACTTGTATTAAAGCAGATCTGGAGGAGCCATATATATGTATATGTATATTTATATACGTATATATTTTATGTAAGTTGTTTAACACATACATTTCATAAACAAACAGATTAAAGTGTTTAGAGGTACGGAAAGATTTTTGTCTTTTTAAAACATAGAAAAATTAAATACTAATGACAAAACCAGCTTAGAAATACATAATGACAGCAGAACAAGGAAAATTTTTCATTATTCCAGTAAAAATGCTATGCTGTCAAAGGAAAAGGAAATGTGAAGGGGCAGAGATAATGGTAGAAAATGAGAACAGCATTCCTTATGAATAACTTGGGCATCAAGAAACGGTCCTTAATTGTAAGGTGAGATTTGATCCTTGGCATAATAGAAGAAGTATATAACTAATGGGCTTACAGAGTGCTCCAGAGAAAATGACCTGGGTCTAAGAGAGCAAACATGGAACTCCATCAACTTTCATGAATAATAAATTCAGAATAAATTTATTTTCTGGTTACAAGTGAATTGTAAATTAATGTCATTTTATAAGTAAGTCAATTTAAAATATATATATATTTTTAAAAACCTCAGATCTCCGAGACAGGCAGATCACTTGAGGCCAGGAGTTCAAGATAAGCCTGTCCAACATGGCAAAACTCCATCTCTACTGAAAACACACACACACACACACACACACACACACACACACACACACACACAAATTAGCTAGGTGCGGTGGCAAAATGCCTGTAATCCCAGCTACTTGGGTGGCTGAGGCATGAGAATTGCTTGAATCTGAGAGGTGGAAGTTGCTGTGAGCAGAGATGGTGTCGCTGCATTCTAGCCTGGGTAATAGAGAGAGACTCTGACTCAAAATCCATCCATCCATCCATCCACACAAAAAGAAACAACAACAAAACTTCTCAGATCTATATATCATAAGATAGTTAAGCACTTTTTAAATTACCGTCTTTAGGTTTATTGGCTGGAGCCCTATAAATTAGATTGATAAAAGATTAACAGTAGAAACAGCATGCAAATTTTTTGTGACGTCAATTTTTACATGACACAAATGCCTTCTTAGAGAAGAAGACCCGAAAAAGCAATTGACCTAAAAACTTATATACTGTTTTTAACAAAGTACAATACATTGTGGAGATGTCACAACACAAAGTAAAGGTTTTGGGGCTTCCAAGGGCAGCAAACTGTGGGAAGGTAAATACATGGTGAAAACTAATGGAATATAAGGACTATCTTAGCAAGTTTTGTTTGCATAAGCCCATCTCTGTGTTAACTTTCTGTGTTCTTCATAGCCATAAACTTTCCCCGAAAGAGGGTATTTACAACAGTCCTTGTTTGTAAGGAGTTTCTTCTTTTAGGCAGATAAAGGGAGCTTGGGCAAGGCTTCTTTCTGCATCCCTTGAATCTCAAACGTCTTTAGCTCAAAATAATCATTATGCCAAAGTGAAATATTTTGGGTGGTGTAGATACAGATGTAGAGATAGATAAATAAATGGAGACATAGATATTTTACCATCTTAATCATTTTTAATCTATAATTCAGTAGTGTTAAGTATATGAACGTGGGTTGTGAAATAGATCTCAAAAACATTTTCATTTTGCAAATCTGAAACCATGTAGCCATTAAACCACAACTCTTATTTGTCCCCTTCCCTAAGACCATAGTCATCACAGTTGTACTTTTAAATTCTGTGGATACTTTAGATACTTCAAATAGGTGAAATTGTACAGCATTTGTCCTTTCAAGACTAGTTTATTTTACTAAACATAATGTCCTCATTTTTTGTATTTTAGAATGTGACAGAATTTTCTTCCTTTTAAGACATTAATATTCCATAGTATGTATATACCACACTCGTCTCTTCATCCATTAATGGATATTAGAATTGCTTTCACCTCTTGATGGTTGTGAATGGTGCTATTGTTAATATGAGTGTGCATTCATCTCTTTGAGATCATGTTTTCAATACTGTTGGCTATGTACCCAGAAATAAATGTGCAGGATAGAGAACCCAGAAACAAATCCATACACTTACATTGAACTCATTTTTTGAAAAAGGTGCCAAGAACATAACTTGGTGAAAAGATAGTCTCTTCAGTAAATGGTGCTGGGAAAACTGAATATATATATAATATATATAATATATATATTATATATATTATATATATTATATATATAATATATATAATATATTATATATATTATGCAGTAGTATTGCTGCTACTATTGCATAAAGAAAAAAATGGTGACTTAAGGCTAGAATAAAATTTTCTTGACTTCTTATGATAGAATAATTTTTTTTTCTATCTGAAGGCTAAGCTGTCAGCAGACAAATATATGCCCCTTGTGTTAGTATTTATGAGGATATTAAAATTCCCATGAGTTATCTATTATAGAATAAATCTATTCTTAGTAAAACTTAATGGCAAATAACATTTTGCATTTTCCAATAAGTAGTTTCTACTTATTTTGCTATTAAAATAAAAAATGATCAGAATTATTTTCCATGGCAATAAGATAGCTTTAGAACAACCTAAAGTTTATTAATTTAGAATCAAGAATGTAAAACTATATATAATTTGAACTTTTAATAAAACATTTGCTGTTTGATATTAGAAACTGCACTTGATAAAAGAGCATTAAGCAGGCTCAAGTTTGTGATGAGCAATCATGTTGTATTTTGCTGCAGTTGTAATGACATAGAAAATTGTTTCTTTTTCCATCATCTTGTATTTTGGAATGAAATTAATGTTCCTTAGAACTGAGATGCTCATCTATTTAATCAGCATGATTTAAATAGCATTAGCTTCTCACATATTGCCACATGTTGAACTAATTTGCAGACAGTGACATGGTGAATTATAGATTTTTTAAAAAGCAACACTCAAAAGATTTCGTGCTTGAATAGAAGTACCTGTCCATGGAATATAGTCTTCAACTACTCTGAAGAGCTAATTGTTGTAGTGTAATATATTTGTAATGTAATGTAATTAAATACATTTTAAAGATTATTTTCGGGCAAGTGACATAAGCAAGATGGTGGAATAAGAGTTTCCAGTGCTCACTCCTCAGAAAAATCAATTTTAGCAACCATCCCTAAAGTACGAGTTAAGAAAATACAAATTGATGAGAGTAGGAAGAACATTTTCATATTACCTTTATTACCTCTTCCTTATTTTCTAAGCCCGAGGTTAGTCCCCATGACTTCAGGCACCATGCCTGCACTTATGGACCCAGGTATCAGGGCATTCTCATGGAATCAGGTCCAAGCCTACTTTTGTGGGTCAAGGCACAAGATTTGCTCCAGTGGCAACCCAGTCCCTGAAGACTAAGACCCAATATATGCCCTACTGCCACATCTGACTCCATAAACCCAGGCCTCACACTGAGCTGTCTTGACCAAGTCTCAATGCCTGCTCCCACAGTCTCAGCAGCCAGGACCACCCCATGGGACTCTACTATCTGTCTGGCCCTTGCAGACCTAGGTTCCCTACCCATCTCCATGAACTCAGGCTCTCTGACTGCCACCACAGACCCAGGCAACAGGCAAACCTCTATGGACCCAGATACAAGACCTGCTCACACGTGCTGTCATAGGCACTAGACCAGTCTGCCCAAGGATTCCACTAGCAAGTCTGCCCACAGATCTCCACAGTCGGCCCACTCAAAATCTCTCGATGGGCTGAATGCAGGATTTTCCTGCCAAGGCTAATCTTTAAAGACTGAAAATGGAGGCCGGGCGCGGTGGCTCACGCCTGTAATCCCAGCACTTTGGGAGGCCGAGGCAGGTGGATCATGAGGTCAGGAGATCGAGACCATCCTGGCTAACAAGGTGAAACCCCGTCTCTACTAAAAATACAAAAAATTAGCCGGGCGCGGTGGCGGGCGCCTGTAGTCCCAGCTACTCGGGAGGCTGAGGCAGGAGAATGGCGTGAACCCGGGAAGCGGAGCTTGCAGTGAGCCTAGATTGCGCCACTGCAGTCCGCAGTCCGGCCTGGGCGACAGAGCGAGACTCCGTCTCAAAAAAAAAAAAAAAAAAAAAAAAAGACTGAAAATGGAGCTTACTCTTTAAAGAGTAGACATCAAAACAGAAACACAGAATCATACATAATCAGGGAAATATGGTAACATGAAAGAAATGAAATAAAGCACCAGTAACTAACCGTATGGAGATCTATGAACTTTCTGACAAAGATTTCAAAATAACCATCTTAAAGAAACGCAGTGAGCTGCAAGAGAATACACTAAATAAATTCTAAATAAATTCAGGAAAACAAAACATGAAAATAATGAGAAGTTCAACAAAGATAAACTGCCGTAAAAATAAAGAGAAACTCTGGAACTGAAGAATAAAACTGGGTGAAAAATTGTAGGGAAAGCTGTGATAACAGACTCAATAAAGGAGAAAAGAGAATCAAAGACTTGAAATTAAGTCATTTAAAATTACCTAGTCAATGGAACAAAAAAAAAAGAAAGAAGAATGAAAAATAGTGAGGAAGGTCTGTGAGACTCACCAGACCCCATTAAAAAAATAAATATATACATATATGCACACACACACATACATACACATTATGAGAGTACCAGAATGAGCAGAGAAAGAAAAAACAATGACAGAAAACTTATTGAATTAATGATGACAGAAAGTTTTCCAAATTTGGAGGGGGAAATAGACATTAAGGTTCATTAATCTCAGAGAATCCCAAATGGATTAAACACAACTTCACCAACATAAAGTATAAACAAATTCTCAAAATTCCAAAGAAAATTTTAAAAGCAACAAGAAAAAAGTGACCCATAACATAGAAAGAAACCCCAGGAGGCTGTGAGCAGATTTCTCTTCAGAAATCTGCTTGCAGGGGTAGAGTGAGTTGGAGGTAACATTTAAAGATCTGAGAGAGAAAAAAAAAATCTGCCAAACAAAAGCTATACCTAGAAAATCCCTCCTACAGTAATGACAGGGAGGTAAATACTTTCAAACAAAACATCAGGAAGTTTTTTTTTTCCACTAGATCTGCTTTACCAGAAGCTAAAAGAAGTTCTTAAGTTAAAATAAGATGCTCACTAATAACAGTAAAATGTATGAATGTATACAACTGACTTTAATGGTAAAAGCATAGTAAAATTCAGAATCTTTGAATACTGTAATGGTAGTCTACAAGTCACTTTTGATTCTAGTATGAAAGTTAAAAAAGAAAGATATTAAAAATAGCTGTAGCTACAATAACTTCTTAATTGATTCACTATAAAAAGATGTCAATTATGACAACAATAAACAATGTGGAAAGGGAAGTTAAAGTGTAGACCTTTCATTTGTGGCTTAAGTTAAATTACTAGCAGGTTTAGACAGGTTGTTTAAACTATATGATGCCTTAGGTGAGCCCCAAAGTATCCAAAAAGAAAACAAACTTGCTGACACAAAAGATAAAGGGCAAGGAGTCAATGCACACAAAGTCATCAAATAATAAAGAAAGATAACAACAGAGCAGGAAAGAAGTACAAAAACTATAATAAACAGCCAGAAACAATTAACAAAATGGAAATAAGTTTCATCTATCAATAATTACTCAAATTATTAGATTAAATTTTCCAATTGGTCAAACTCACTGCCTGAAACAGTGAATAGCTCAGGATTCCAGTGATTCAGGTAAAAGGTGGCTAAAGAGATCAATAAATGATTCTTCTAATGGTCTCACTGTCTGCAGCAAGTGGATCTGCAGACTGGAAAATCTCTTTGACTTGTCTATAATTCTTGAGACATTGATCCAGCAGGAGGTACTGACAACTACACACACTCCTCCCAGTTGGATGGAGCAATTCTGTCTAGCAATTAAAGTCTAGAACAATTATGTTCTTTAAAATACTCTTCCTGATGGAGTTGAGGGATGTCTGCTGAGCTGACAAAGCAGTGGCAGTGGAGGAAGTAATACCTGTCATGGACAGGGACAGATTTCTTATCGCTTTTTTATCACTTATCACTGACTCCTATGTATAATACCAAAGATCTCATAAAAGACATAAATGAACTATACTTGGCTTGGTAGGTCTCTAGTAAGCCTGATGTACTCTTCTAGGCAGCATAAACTTGGATTACATTTATTTGTCTGTTTTCTAATTCATTCAGCAATTTATCTGTTTAGCCACTTTCTACCTGAATCACTGGAATCCTGAGCTATTCACTGTTTCAGGCAGGCCTGAGCATCCTGTTTATGGCAGTGATATTCATGGGCCTAGTGAAATACATCTGCCTATGGCTCAATGATGTTGCAAAGAGATTGCATTAATCAAGGTGTACATCAATCTGATGGGACAAACTTCTGCCTCCAGACTGAGGAAAGTTAGTGTGCATGAAAAAATACACTGACTTTTATATGTGTAATATGAAAGATGAGAGGTGAATTGCAGGAGGACAGGCCACTGAATGGCCTCGACCCAGCTCTCTACCTCATCCTGCTTGTAGTTGTCAGAATAACTGTAGAATGTGCCAAAAATGCAGTATCCTAAGATAAGGAGTAATGTTATGGAACATCCTCCTCTGTTGTCCTCGGTTCCAGAGCAGGGTGGCCTGCAATACTTTTTCCTAGTCATCCAAGTATCACTTGGGATATGAAACCCAGAGTAGAGTGCTTTCAGTGTACCTCAACTATGTTACAAAATGGGGCATGTGTATATGAGACTCCAGCCATCTTGGGCAGCTCTTCTAAGCCTTGGGAAATTGGCTTGCCATGGATTCCAGACTTCCGTTGATTGTTGTGAATAATAAAGTTGCTTTGCTAGACTGGAGTGAGTGTTCTTTCTTACCAAACTAGACCTAAGAATGCAAGTTGTAGAGGTATAAATACTGTGGTAGCTGGGTCTGCTTTGATCCCCTGTGTCAAGAATTCTTGCAATGGATGTTAATTACGTTAATTATGGTAATACACACACATATATATACACACACACATATATACACACACACACATATATATACACACATATATATGTGTAATATATAGATGTACACCAAAACATCATGTTGTAATACCTTAAGTATATACAATCATTATTTTCCAATTATGCCTCAATAACCCAATAACCCTGGCAGAAAAAACCTAACTTCGAAATAAATTATTTAAATTTAGAAAATATAGCATAATACACTGGCTTTTCATTTTATTCTTTAAATCCTCATTTCTGGTATACAGATGCAATAATCACTGTAGTATAATCTTTAAGAGTCATTAAAATACAAATATATGGTCTTCAAAAGAAGCTAAATCATTTAGATTTTTCCATTTACATACATTGTACAGTCTTCTATTCTTGCCTCTGGGCTAAGCTGTTTAGTTACTTCCTGGCAGTATTAAATTCAGTATTTATATTTCTAATTGTACCATCATTATTATGTGTACATATGCTTCTATTTCTCTACTAATTCAATAAAACATTTACTACAACTACATTTAAAAAGTTTTTTTTCTTAGTGCCATAATATTCCATTTGCTTTTTAATATTTTTCTCTCAGCTTTAAAAAATTACCTTTGAAAAAGCTATTTAAATACGTTGTTTCTTATGTTAATTTTTCTACCTTTATTTCCTGTGGAAAAATGAAGTATCTTTTGGGAACAATGTAAGATAGCAAAAATAAGAAAGAAAATAGAGGATAAATATATTAAATATAAATAACCTATAATATGTAACTGCTAAACAATTTATTTGCTAAATAAGTAATAAATCACTAAACAATCAAAACAATAGCAAGATAATAGCAATATTATACATTATATCATATGTATTATATGCTATTTTATGCATATATATATACACCAGCCCTTTGATTTGCTTTTCTCTCACTTCCATGTATGCCAATTGGTATTTATATGGTACATCTCCCTTTATACTGCCCTCATTTTTTAGTTCTCTTTTTTGAGGAAAAAAATACTCAGATAGTTATCTACTTATTTGAAAAATATTATTTAAACTCCAATATGTGAAATATATTCTATTAGAAATTCTACTCCTTCAAAATTATACACCATAGCAGAAATATTTAGCATTAACATTAAGAGGAACCTCCTCAAAGACGGCGTTCAAATATAAGAGTTGTATTATCTAAATAATAAATCTTTCTTTCCAGAAGTGCTTAAGAATAAACTTGATGCATCAATAAAGAAATTGTTGATTAATATCAAGATTCCATGTCATTTTGTGATTCTATTGTTAGCAGAAGCAAGTCTGTACGGGTCTGCAGGCACCTCAGTTCCTGACTCCTCAAAAGAAAGAATTTGACCAAGGGACATGAGGCATAGTGAGAGACTGAGGCAAGTTTTAGAGCAGAAGTGAAAGTTTATTAAAAGCTTTTAGGGCAAGAAGTAAGTAAAGTACACTGGGAAGTGGACCAAGCGGATGACTTGAGAGTTTCAATTGTGTGGTTTGACCTTTGACTTGGGGTTTGGTGTGTTGGCATGCTTCCAGGGTTGTGTTATCTCTCCCCTGATTTTTCCCTTGGGGTGGGCTGTCTGTGTGTGCAGTGGTCTGCCAGCACTTGGGAGGGGCCACATGTGCGGTGTGTTTCCCAAAGTTGCACACATGTTCATGTGAGGCATTCTTCCCTTACTAGTCAAGTGTTCCTAGGGGAAAGTCGTATACCAGTTAAATTCTGCCATTCTTCCTCTTAGTACACATTCTTGACCTCATTCACTCAGCTCCTGACATCTTATGGGGAAGCTGCTGATCACCAGCTTTGGGTGTTTTCTATCTATTGGGAGGCTGCATTTCCCTGGCACTGACTGCAAGCTATTATTATTTTAGAGATACAGTTTAGCAGCTGCCTGACCCTCACCTGATGGTCACCTGACATTCCTGGTTGGTCGGGGAGGGCCCTCTCCTGCCCTGTTCATGTCTACCTAACTACCTACTCTAACACTATAATTTATACCAAATAATATATTGATTTGTGCATATATCTTACCTTAACTCATATTGTAACAGAGCATTAGATTATCAGTACATTTTTTTCTGAGAAAGGTATTTTTTTAAATATAACTTTTTGTCTCTAAAATGAAAATTATTTAAAAACCTTATATTATCTATAGTTAAATTGTTTTGATTTCCAGTAACTGTTTATATATCTAGAATATTTTTCAGTGTTTACTAAAATAAGAAGTCATACATTCTAGTTTTTTTTGTTTGTTTGTTTCTCTTCTAGATTAAAAAGAAAAACATAAGGCTGGGAGCAGTGGCTCACACCTGTAATCCAGGCAACTCGGGAGGCTGAGGCAGGTGGATCACTTGAGGTCAGGAGTTCGAGACCAGCCTGGCCAACATGGTGAGTCCCACATCTCTACTAAAAATACAAAAATTAGCCAGGCGTGGTGGTGGGCACCTGTAATCCCAGCTACTCAGGAGGCTGAGGCATGAGAACAGCTTGAACCCAGGAGGTGGAGGTTGCAGTGAGCCGAGATGGAGCCACTGCACTCCAGCCTGGGCAACAGAGCAAGACCCCATCTCAAAAAAAAAAGAAAAGAAAAAAGAAAACCATCACTCTATTCCCAATTTTATTTTTCATACAAGTGAAACTTCTAAAAGCTCATGCTATTAAAGTATAACCTAGGCAGGGATCATGAGTACTGATGGCGAGAATTTAATGGTCCTATCAGTAAAAGTGGTCACATCATTTTCAGTCAACAGTGAGCCCCTCTTCCAAGGTATTCCTTAAAATGCAATCTTTTTGATTAAAATCTAGACTTTTCCTAAAGCTGTCTTTGGCATCCAATGAGAATGTTACCTTCGTCTTATTGTAGCTCCTTTATTTAAACCATTCTTAATTTTTATGAAGATGTCATGACTTAAGATGTTTTTCAAAACAAAATAGCAAATACTAAAACCAGATAATTTTTCTGTCTAATGCAAATATGGGTGGTTTTTTTACTCTTCCTCTTTGCACCTGTTGCTCTTTCTCTTAATGGTCACTCAACTCAGTCATTTTATTATAATGCCATAATTCTCTTCCTAAATTATATCAAGGTAATATTGCAATGCAGGTTAACCAATGTCAAAATTAAATGGTGTTCTATTTAATCCACAGTTTCAAGATAGTTTATAATAAATCTATTTAATATAAATTTAAATTAAATATATAAACATATTATATAAATAAATTATAATATATTTAAGTACTTACAAAAGTAAATATTATTAAGTAAAAAAAGTACTCATGAATACAAATTTACTGGGACATTTTTCTGAGACAAGATTTCCACAACTTTGTTCAGTGAGAAAAGCAATTCAACTTAAATGTATTTTATCTTGGCTGTCCTTTAAAGTCACTATTTACATACTAAAAGGATTTCATAAATACATATCTTCAGCTTGTAAGGTTCTCACAGTATGCCTCCCCACCCTCAGTTTGATAAAGGGGAGGCTGTTAGCCTAGTGAAGCAAATAGTTGGTGTCCCCTACTAGTGAGCTCTATCGCTTGGGGCAACTACTTTTCCTTCCAAAGAATCGGTCAGAACTTATTACTGGGCTTGTTCAGCACTGCACAACAAAGCAGTTAAATCACTGGGACTGTGCGTCAGCCCATGCCTGGCTCATACTGGTCTAGTCACAATTTCAATCAGAGATTGTATGCTTTCCAGCTAAATAATTTGTTGGGGAATGGAGTTGGGGTGGAAGATGTAAAGTGCAAGGCCACCTTCAAGGATGCCTTTAATGAAGGTGCTATAGTGCTCAGGAGTCTCTAACTTATTGCCTAATGATGCTTATCAGAAGACAAACTAGGGTTTAAATTAGTCTTGATATCCAAATTCCCACATGAAAATTTATTGCAAAATGCATTTTCTGTTTTTTTCATAAACCGTAAGCTCAATAAAATTAAACATACTCTATTTGAGTAATGTCTTTACGTATCCATATGTCCTAAAATTATACTCTGATTCTTTGATTGTGTTTTACACTGATACATTTTTTCTCTTTATAAAGGATTAGGAAGCATCAAAGTATAAAATGGAGGCTCACTTAGTGGCTGTGAAGTACACATCAACATGTATCTATGTCTTGTGCCTGCAAGAGCAAGAGAGTGTGGAAGTGAAAGGGACCAGATTTAGCACTAAACAGACCATTCTTATACCTTCTTAATACTCTGATGAGGAAAGTCTCTTATTCTCGGAGCCTCAATTTCTATGTCTGTAACATGGTCAATTCTCTTTCTCTCTTTCTCCTTCTCTCTCTCTCCCCCTCCCCTCCTTGTCTCTGTCTCTCTCACTCTCCCACTCCCTCACCATACTCTTGCCTCATTCTGAGCCTTCCTTGAGAAAGGTCTCTTTCTCAATGCAGGACAGATCATTACAGGTTATGATTTTCCTGTGTCTGGCTAGCTAAGCTTTAAGAACCCGAATTCCCTTATTGGCAAGTTCTAATGTTGATATTTTAGGGGAAAATGCATGAAGCTTCAGCTTGGGGCCCAATAAAGTTCTTAAATACAGCTTTATGAACAACAAAGTGCTCAGGATATTTTAGGTGTCACTTAGCTCCTTAATGTATTGCTCTATTGTTCAGCTTCTGGAGTAGAGTAGGGTGAACAAATGGGATACAAAGAACTCCTATTATTCATGTGAATACATTAGTTTCATGTGAGCATGCCAATTATTCAGATTGGAGAACTCTACATTTTCTATATTCAGAATATTGAAATATTACCTTAATGAATGAGCTAATGTTGTTTACCAAGTTTTCTAATTTATATCTTACTGAGATATTATGAAACTATACTTAAAAAATACAGCCAAGGCTAACATGCAGTAAGGCTGTGATCATTTTATTCAAATTAACTTAAGTAAAGTAATTGTTTAGAATCAGAGTACTGAGAGAGTTTCACTATTAACTAAAGGCTGCCATTCATCATAGAACATCAGTATTAGATTATAATTGAGATGGCTTCTATTCCAACTTCTTCCTGTTATAGAAGATGTAATTGAGGTCCACGGAGGTTAACAGACTTGCCCAAAGTCACCTAGCTAATGAGGCTGGAGTGAGAAAAGTGAGAAAAGTAGAGCCAGGGCTGATAAAGCTGGACAAACTGAAGCATGTGCCGCACAGCTCCAGGAGCATGTGTGTAAGGATCAAACAGGAACCTTAATTATACAATTAAAGCAGAAGCATTCTGATTAGCTCTTAATGGAATAGTATTTTTTCAGGATGAATATTTTAGTTATAAAGGTTTAAACCACAACAAATATATTAATGGTTCATACCTAAGAGCCTAAATGTATATTTCAGATGGTTTCTACAACATAGAAATCTAGCTATGTTTATTGGTGAGTTTCAGAGATGCCTACATCTGATACAAATAGCATTTATGTCACAGAAGTATTAGAACCTTTAAAGTCAGCATTTTATGTTTTAAAATAACTTGAGAGTGTGTATTTTATTTCTACACACCAGTGACTTTGAAGATACTTGGCACAGCTTTCGAACGAATGTTCAGGCACCTTATGATTAATCAAATCAAAACTTTTAAAGAGAATGAACAAAAAACATAAAGTGGTTCTTGTTCCTGGAAATGATTGAGCACATTGAGATTTTACTACACACATTGTAATGGAAAGTGAATTAACAAGAAGCAATTTAGCCATGACAATTTCCTATTTCCACTTCAGCTAGAAATGTTAATCACATGTACTGAAGAGAAGGATAAAAACATAGTGTATAATGATGGGGACTTTGAAACTTTAAATATTAAGAGAAATATACATATTTTAACATCATTTTATTCAAAATTTTAACCTATATCCTAGTTACATTACAGAATGCCTCAAATCTATTTCTTCACCAATTTAAAGAGATGTTGAGATCATGTACAACAGCAGTATGCTATTCTGACTAGTGTCTTCTATTAATTTAAAAGGGTGAGGATGGCTATTTAAACAGTTTTAACAGCTGTATTGTACTTAAAATTGTCTTGGAAATTAACTTTTGACAGAAGGCCAAAATATCTACATGGTATTTTTAATGGCAGCAAAACTTGAATATTTTATGAATGCATAAGAAATATTACTAAGTCATTTTTCATTGGTAATAATAAAGAAGCACATAAGAAAAACAGATAAGCTTGGGAATGAGTAGTGCTAATAGAAAAAAACATGGAAGCGGATATAAGAAGCAGTTTGGGAAAAATGACAAGCTTCAAAAGACTCACTCTTCACTGCAATCATATGTTACACTTTGGAAAAATCTTCTCCATGAGAAATTCAAATTTTATTTGTGGATTCAACCAGTGATGTAATTTTCTCCTCTGTCTTAAGTCCTCCGTGGATATACACAGTAGTCAGCCAGTCAACTTTCCAGCCCCCAGGAAATCTGGCTTGGTTGGTGACACAACAAGAACTATGCAAATGCAGTTGAGAAACAGGCATCTACCACTCTGTCTTGGGGTTGTCACCTGAAAGGCAATGAATCTGTGATATTTCACAGCATTAGCAGCATGTCCTGCTTTACCTTCTCTTCCCCAGCTCCATAGCTAAGGGGAAGAAAACATATCTCTTTTTAGCCTCAAGTAGCTTGCTGTATTTTTTGTTTTATATCATATATTTAAGTTGTAATTTATTTATATGAATTTTCAGTGCCTGTGTCTCCCATGAGAATATAAAATTAAATGGAGAAACCATTTTTGTTAGTACTTTATCCTTAGTGCTTAGTTAGCACAGTGACTAGCAAAATAAATATTTGTAGAATTATTTTAAATCAGTGAATAAATTTTGGACATCCTAACCCTTGAATCTTTTGACTACCTACAAATTTTCCAACTTTTTGTAATTCTGAAACTCAGATGGATATTGTTAACTTTGTCTGATTCTGTCTCTGGGAGTCTGTAACTAATTTCTAGCCCCTCTTGTTTCATATTAGATTGGGTTCCTTGATAAACAGTATTAACTGCAGTTGATAGAGAGTCTGCAGTTTCCAGAAACCATAGTGACCTACGGTTTACAAGATCATGATCTTGTAAAGAGCTATTTCTTTTATATTAACACATGCCTGAAATAGAACTGGAACTTTGTGACACTCCTGGAAACTTGACTGTTGTAAATGTGGGTAGCTCAGGAGAACAGGGAAAGTGGGTTCAGAGAGAAGCAGTACTACTTTTATCCTACAGTACTTTTCCCATTAGAACTTGCTGTTTTTCCCATCTCTTCTCTTCATATCCTCGAAATTTTCTTGATGCAACAGTGTAGAGCAACACTGAATAGCCAAGGATCAGTTACATTAATAATTAAATGCAAATTATTTATACTTTCAAGATTTACAATTAGTTACATATACCCTACCTTTCTTTTGGACTAGAAATCATGCAAATGAACCTAGATAATCTATAGACTTTTTAGACATTTAATAACCTCAGCCTTATCTTTTGTGGCATCAATTATTCATCATTGTATTAAACGGATGTTAGATTTTACACATATTGAGAGATTTTAACAATTTTAACGCTTCATTATTTCTCTCTCTCTGTCTCCCTCTCTCTCTGTGTGTGTGTGTGTAATGAATCTTGTGTTTGAAGAGATTTTTGGATTATTTTATGAAGGTGTTTATATTTTTAGCTCAGAAACTGTGGTTCTCAAATGAGATATTTGAGCCTAGAAACTATGGTTCTCAAATGTGCAGTAAGGTTCTTTGGAGAACCTTATCTCTGTGTCTCTGTCTTCTGGATAACCAACAACTAAACTTTGAAATGAAATAACTCAGTGGCCTCCAAGAATTTGGAACATAGAGGAGATAAATATATTGTTATGAGTGGTACATGAAACATGAAGTCGAATACTGTAATAGAATCTGAGTGAATAAAACTTGGATTGGAATATCAAGAAAACTTTTCAAGAAAGACTATTGTCACAGATTCTTAAGAGTCATAGTGAAGGAGGTAGAAACTAAAGTCTACAATACAGAGCATGCTAAAAGATGTGCCTTATTTCTTTGTTTACTTTGTTTATCTTGCCCTTTGGGAGGAAAAGAAAAGTTCATAATATTGCAAGGAAATTTAGACCATAAGAAACATCCAGTTTCCATCCTGCTTCACAGCAAGGAATGCATTTAGACGTATGTGAGAACCATTCAGTGTTTCAACCTCAGGCAGAGAGCTTCTGGACAGCAAACAGAGAAGAAGCTGGAAGTACAGCAGGGGTAGCTATTTTTTTCACTTGTTCGGACATGACAATGTTTATTTTTAAAAGCCAACAAACACTGCATGACAGTATTCTGTCACCTTGGGCAAGTGCACATTTCATAGTCCCAGGTATCCGCCATGAAGTCTGGATCTCTCTAATGGATTGGAAACTTTTTGAAGAAGGTCAAAACACTCTTTATAAAAACAACAACAACAAAAGTCTAATTCTGTTCCAAAAATGAAAAGAAAGATAAGGACAAAAAATGATACTGATTTATTTCACTAACTTATATTCATTCTAAATTTCTAACTTCAAGCTTTTTAAAACTTAATTTTCCAAGGCCTTGCTCTAAGTAAGTGTTCAATAAGTATTAAATAAATTACATAGCAAATCAATATTGGGAATATTTTAATAACACATAGAGTATTTTATAGTCAAAGACCAGTTACATCAATAATTAAACAATATTCACCGATGCCAAAGTGTTTGAGACTCCTAACGTAAGGCAGAATTAAACATATTCCCATTTATTAAGTGTAAAAATTGGAGCATGGAAATATTTAAACTAAGTCATGGTGTTTTCTTTCAACTCTTTAGCTGGAGAATGTCCTAGTTAAAAGTGTAAAGTAAATGAAGTTTGTCTTCCTTTCTCATGCTGCTCTTTCAGAACAATTTTCTATACAAATGCCTGCCCCAGACACCATAAAACTTAAATCCTACTGTTTTTGTTTTTGCCTGGAATTTTCATTTTCATGGATTTGAAATCTCTGCCCTCCACTTTTCTCACACCTTTAAAATATATTAAAGCTTTGCTTCATGTATTCTGGGGCTCCAAAGAGGTCAGTGTGCTAAACTAATCCTGCATTCACTAGGAAGGGGACAGCTTTTTGAAGCAGTAAGTATGTCTGACCTTATCTTTGATAAACCTTTAATTATTTAGCCTAGCTACCAGGCAGAATGTACTGAATTGTTCATTCTAAATTTTCACTGATGGGTTCGTATGAATGCCTCATAAGAAATGTTTGTGTTTAATAACGAAGGGCAGAAGTGAGAGGTTTAAAAGGTTTATTTTAGCAATTACCCAGGGGATTTCCTGGCCAATTTTATGTTGTCTTATCCTGTTACTCACCTAAGATATGCAAGCAAATTCCTAGGTTATCAAGTCACAGGCTACTGCTGAAGGTCTGAAGAGCTAGTCATCGGGTCCGCACCATAAAAGCAAGCATAAAATCACAAAATCATCTGCGAGAAATTATGTGGATTTAACATGACCACGCATTTTTTTGACACTTCTTGCATTGAAAGGTGGTGGCTGTTCTTGAGTCTAGGCTGGCTGGTAACTGCCTTCAATAGCAGAGTATAATAAGTAAACTACTGCTGTGAAGCTCGTGGCCCTGCCTTTTAGGGTAACAACAGATTCTGCTTTGGTCTTTTGGAGCTTTGAGCCACCATTTAAAATGTCTTTCTACCATGATAGAGTAATCTGTGGCACACATTTCTTCTATCCCCAACAAGATACCAGGCATTTGAGCGAAACTGGCAGGGACCCACTAGATGAGCTCAGTTGTTAGCTGAATAGCACCAAATTATATCTGCCATGCTACATGGGGAAGAACTATAATCCATTTGGACTTATCCCAATTTCCTTGCCCACAAAATATACAGAAAAATATAAAATGGTTATTATTTTGAGCTACTAGTAAGTATGAAGACAGTTCAGTATGCAATTAAAACCTTAAATGAGAGAATGCATTGTGTCATTTTCAGGAGACTGGGTAATCTGTTCTTTGTACCTACCTGGAAAAGTTCTAATCTTTTTCAAAGCGATTCATACAAATCTGTGCAGAGCTTGAGATATCTCCTGACATCATACTTAGAAGACTTTGCACTAAGGTCTTCTAAATGACAAATCTCTTTAAATGACAAACTTCTAGTCATGTCCTTTGAACAAATTATAGCATTAATAAATACAAATATTATATTTTTGATTATCCAATTGCCTAATGAGCAAAAAGAATTGTTGTGAGGGATAAAGTTAAATAATATACATAAACTTCATTTGCACAGTATAAAATACAATCCACAAAAAGTTACCACCATACCACTACTGTGAAGATTTTATGAATGCCCCTCTCCATGAAAAATTTTAATCTGGAAAATTGTATTTAGCTTGGAGCCAAGGGAATGATATTGTTATGAGAAAAGCACTATTTAAACAAATATCTTTAAAAAAAAAGAAAACTTTCAAATAGATCTGAAAAAATACATTAAATTTTCTTTAAGATATAATTGATATACCTTAAAAATGACCTCTTAAGGTGTAACATTCAGTCATTTGTAGTATAGTCACAAAGTTGTACAGCTCTCACCACTAATTCTAGAAGATTTTAATTACCCAAAATACACCCTGTAACTAAATGTTATCTTTTAGAAATAATAGAAACGGTGATGATAGTAATAAGAAAAAAAATAATTGAGGACAAATCCATATATTCCAACATAACAGAAAATAAATTAATGAAGTTGCAAGCTTGGAAGAGACAGAACCTGTGTGCAGAAAAAAGCTAACACAGCAGGCCTGAGAAACTATCATTGAAAAAGTCTGCTTCAAAGTTGGCCCTTGGTTTCCATCTGAGAACTGGACTGGTAAAGTTAACGACACTGATATAAAACTTTCTCTAATTGATGAGAGTGTATCACTGTGAATAAACTTTTTATAAAAATGGCATGATTTATGCAACACTTAATCTCCTTCTGGGAGTCTAGAATTTTGGTGCATGATAACCAAAGTGCCTACATGGCTGTCCCAGTAAAAAACTTGGATGCTTAAATTCTACCAGATATAAAAAGAAGATCTAATACCAATACCCTTGAATGTCTCCCAAAAAATAGAGGAGAACAAACTCCTCCCTAACTCATTCTATGAAGGCAGCGTGATCCTGATACTGCAAGCTGGCAAAGACACAAGGAAAAAAGAAAACTACATACCAATATATCTTATGAACATAGCAGCAAAAATGCTTAACAGAATACTATCAAACTGAATCCAACAGATCATCAAAATGTTAATTCACCATAATCAAGTAGGCTTAATTCCTAGGATGACAGGTTGACTCAAAATACACAAATCAATAAATGTGATTCACCACATAAACAGAATTAAAACAAAAAATTACATGATCATCTCAATAGATGTAGAAAAAGCTTTTGATAAAATCCAATACCACTTCATGATAAAAACCCTCAAGAAACTAGACATTGAAAGAACATACCTCAAAATAATAAGAGCCATCTGTGACGAACCCACAGCCAACATCATACCAAATGGGAAAGCAGTGGAAGTATTCCCGTTGAACTGAAACAAACCAAGGAGGCCCACTCTCACCCCTCATATTCAACATAGTATTGAAAGGGCTAGCCAGAGCAATCAGGCAAGAGAAAGAAATGAAAGGCTTCCTAATTGGAAAACAAGAAATCAAACTATTTTTCTACGTGGAAAATATTATTCCATACCTAGAAAACACTAAAGACTCCACCAAAAGTCTCCTGGAACACATAAATGATTTCAATAAAGTTACAGGGTACAAGATCAATGTACACACATCAGTAGCACTTCTATATATGGATAGCATTAAAGCAAAGAGCCAAACAAGAACACAATTTTATTTATAATAGCCACAAAAAATGAAATATTGAGGAGTACAGCTAATAAAGGAGGTGAATGATCTCTACAAGGAGAACTATAAAACGCTGCTAAAAGAAATTATAGATGAAACAAACAAATGAAAAACACATTCCATGCTCATGGATTAGAAGAATCAATATCATTAAAATGGTCATACTGCCCAAACCAATCCACACACCCAACATTATTCCTGTAAAAAAATCAATGACATGTTTCACTGAACCAGACAAAACTATGCTAAAATTCATATGGAACCTGAAAAAAAGGGCCTGAATAGCCAAAACGATCTTAAGTAAAAAGAACAAAGCTAGAGACATCATATTACACACTTCAAACTAATCTCTGAGGCTACAGTAGCCAAAACAACATGGAACTGGTCCAAAAGCAGACACATAGAGCAGTGGAACAGAAGACAGAACCCAGGAGTAAAGGCATAGACCTGCAGCCATCTGGTATTTCACACAGTTGACAAAAATGAATAATGAAGAAAGGACTCCCTATTCAACCAATGGTGCTGAGATAACTGACTATCCATATGCAGAAGAATAAAACTGGAACAATACCTTTCACCATATGCAAAAGTGACCCCAGGATGGATTGTAGATTTAAATGTAAGACCTAAAACTATAAAAATCCTAAAAGAAAACCAAAGAAATACCATTCTGAACATCGGCTTTGGGAAAGAATTTATAACTAAGTCCTCAAAAACAATTGTGAAAAAAAAAACAGAAATTGACAAGTGGGACCTAATTAAACTAAAGAGCTTCTGCACAGAAAAAAGAAGCTATCAACTGAGTAAAAAGACAACCTGAAGAATGGGAGAAAATATTCTCAAATTATGCATTTGATAAAGGTCTAATATCTAGAATCTATAGAAACTTAGACGATTGAATGAGCTGACAACAAATATGCCCATCAAAAATGAGCAAAATATATGAACAGACACTTCTCAAAAGAAGACATACAAGCAGCCAATAAACATATGAAAAAATGCTTCACATGATAAATTATCAGAGAGATGCAAATCGAAACCACATTGCCATACCATCTTCTTTCAGTCAGAATGACTATTATTAAAAAGTCAGAAAACGACAGATGCTGGCAAAGCTGTGGAGAAAAGGAAATGCTTATACATTTTTGGTAGGAATGTAAATGAGTTTTGCCACTGTGGAAAGCAGTTTGGAGATATCTCAAATAACTTAAAACAGAACTACCATTTGACCCAGCGATCTCATTACTGGGTATGTATCCAAATGAAAACAAATTGTTCTAACAAAGATCACTTGCGGCCGGGCACGGTGGCTCACGCCTGTAATCCCAGCACTTTGGGAGGCCAAGGAGGGTGGATCACGAGGACAGGAGATGGAGACCATCCTGACTAACAAGGTGAAACCCTGTCTCTACTAAAAATACAAAAAAAAAAAAAAAAAAATGCTGGCCGTGGTGGCAGGTGCCTGTAGTCCCAGCTACTCGGGAGGCTAAGGCTGGAGAATGGCGTGAACCTGGGAGGTGGAACTTGCAGTGAGCCGAGATCGCGCCACTGCACTCCAGCCTGGGCGACAGAGCGAGACTCCGTCTAACAAAAAACAAACAAACAAAACAAAACCAGAAAAGCCCTTGCATGTTCATCACAGCACTATTCACAACAGCAAAGACATGCATTCAACCTAGGTGCCAATCAACGTTGGATTGGATACAAAAATACATAGTACATATACACCGTGGAATACGACTCAGCCATAAAAAAAGAATGAAATCATGTCCTTTGCATTTGTATTGATACACCTGGATATAACTATCCTAAGCGAATTATTCCAGGTACAAATAACCAAATAATGCATGTTTCCACTTATAAGTAGGGGCCAATATCTGGGTACTTGTGGATATAAAGATGGCGAGCAACAACAGAAACTGGGAACTACTTAAGCAAGGAGGGAGAGAGAGGCAAAAGTAAAAAAGCTAGTAAGTACTATGCTCGGTAACTGAATGTCAGGATCATTTGAACCCAAAATATCAGCGTCGCACAATATACCTTGCTCACAAACCTTCACATATATCCCCTGAATCTAAAAAAATAGTTGAAAAAAAAATGACAATCTTGGACACTGTGTCTATAATGAGTTTCCAAAGAATACGAAGAAGCAAAATGAGCCCATTATGGGTGACTCTGAGTATGCCTATGATTTTATTGTTGACAAAGAAATAAATATTTGGTTTTTTTATTTATTTAATAAATGTTGACTAAAACTTTAATATAAACTAGATGTTATGTGGTAAAAATTCAGTGGTAAACATGGCACAATGTCTGGCTCTTAAATGTCTAACAGAAGCCTACAAGTTTTCAATGCAAACTTTGAATTCATGTTTGCCTCCTAAACATATAAACATCTACTACTACCTTTATACAAATAATTTAAAAATATGTGTTATAAGGAAGTGGCTGATAGAGACACATGGACAAGGAACACAGAGAGTTATAAATGTGACCTGTAAGATTATGTGCCAGGTTGTCATGGAAGAAAATGATCACAGAAAATACTGTGATATGTCTCATTAATTATTGTCTATGCATAATTTATGAGCTTCTTATGAACAAAAAAATGATTAAATATACTAGATGTAATTATAATTCAATCAATATTTTTGAGATGTTAAACAACCACTGAACACTAATACCTTGGAATATTCTATATCTGTATTTGTCTAAATGGCTTTTGCAGACAAGTGAGGCTGATGAGGGCTTATATCTAGCAAATGTGTATAGAAAAAATACTTTTAGACTCCTCCCCAGAAAGAAACCCTACTGAATTCTAGAGATGAAATCCAGAAGCTTTATTCCTTGAATAATCTGAGACTGCCTATAATCTCCATGTCAAACATCAGCACTGAAACCATCTAAACCCTTGTTGAATAGATAGAAATTACTTAGGTTCATCTCAGAGAGCTACACAGTCTTTGCTCTGTGGGATATTCCCAAAGTTTTAAGGCCATCGTATATTATCTGGGCATTTAGAATTAATTCAATTTTTTTTCTTTCACCGTTTCCCTATTTCTAGATTATAGGACCCCAAGCCTAAGATACATTTATGAGAAGTTTTTCACACTACTACAGGTAAGGGAGAATAATACAATGACTTATCTATTTTTAAACTTCATTTTGCACCTTAATACTATTAAATATTGCATTTGATCAGCCTCATACAGCTGGGGAGTAGGTGGGGACATCACAGTACTTACTAATTTAAGAACTAATTAATTACTAATTACTATAATGTAAGTACTATTTACTACAAGTTTTCTCCATCTTCTTTGGATGTAATCATTAAAACAGTACTCTGGGAATGTAAACAAGGAGGCCTTACCTAATCTTATAGTTGTTTGTGGAAAAAGGAATAATAAAATGATTATCCATACATTTACTGTAAACTCATTAATACTTAGATACTGAAGAAATACAACAGCTCTTGTAGAATTAATTCTCCTTACTGCTGATGTTCTCTTTCATATAGTGGGTATTCTATTACTGTAATTCATATGGCTTCTCTCCTTTGTAAACACTTTATAAACACTTTTCAGAAAACTATTAAAATATTCAAATGTTTGCTGAGCTGACAAAAGTTTGGAGTCACTAAAATGTTGAGTATTGCTATAATATTATTTAGTGTTTCAGGCTCGTGAAACTTGGAGAGATTAAAGGGTATGAGCAAAATAGAATACTCATCAGTGTCTACAGAATGAGAAGACTGTAGGGCAGAAAACTGGGTAACCTAGTGGTCTCTTACTCTTTGTGTTCTGAAAAATAACCCTTTCTTTTGGGAAGAGTTTATCGATTGTTTGTGGTCCTAGTGTGGTTGTCGGTCAGAGCAATCTCTTCCCCAGAATATAAAGCTGGTTTCTGATTCAAGCTCAGAAATTCTAATGCCCTAGACTGCTGATAATTGTTATCAATCTATTGACAGGTAACCCCAATATGTTCAATCATATTGTTCTCTAAGTCTGGAAATATGCTTGCCAGGAGTAAAACACCATTTTATCTCTAGAACTACTTACTTGAGTGATAGAAAACTGGATTTGCCAATTATCATTGTTTCTGCCATGTGGATAGAGACTGTATACAAAATTAATAGGAGTGAAGACAGAAAAAGAAAAACATTTCTGGTAGTACTAAAGCCCTGGTTCTAATCCGTGAGGCTTTTTTATGTATTCTGAACTATTTCTACTTCCTCTCCAACTTCATGAATCAGAACATCTCGTTTTCCATTATTTTTTTCATTCGGTTTCTGCCAGTAATGAACTTCACTATTTAAGAAATAATCAGAGCTAGAGGTATCTGCAAAAGACACATGCACTCCATAGAGTTTTATAACTTTAACAAAAGCCTAATGGCTGACCACATCAATTAAATAACTCTCGTGATGCTTCTTATGCTAGCCATAGAAGCGAGAGTAAAGTAATGCAATGCAATAGAAAACATGACTTTGCAAAGCCCAGAAGGGAGGGGAAGATATCAGTGCCCACCTCTATGCAGGGCGTAAAAAAATTGTGAGAAGAGATTGCAACAATTTAAGATTTACATATAATCAACCAAAATTGGTAAGTAGCACTGAGGAGTGTTTCAGTTAGAAATTTATGGGACTATAGGCCATTTTTCTCCATATAAGATCCAATAACAAATGATTATTTCTTTCAAATAATACTTCCTTCTGAAATACTAAGGCCAGAATTTTGGCAAGAAGTTTGCTTTTTTTAATTATTATTTTTTGTGCTGCTGCTAGAGCCAACTGATTTTGCCTTTGTGCCAAAAATTTTTCTAGCCTTAGGGATACATAATAAGCACATCTCTACTAAAATGAAACTCAGGTTTCTCATTTTAAAATGAATATTTCTAATACATAGTAATAATCCTAGTTAGTGCTGAGATTTCCCAAGAGATCTTAACAATGCAGATAATTTAAATATTAAAATATTATAATTTTGAGTATATTAGCAATTTCAGGGCTGATAGGATGTTCTTTATAAAAACTGAACCTCAAAATTTCTGAGTTCCAATTTCTGAATTCTGTTTCTGAAACAGCAGAACAAAAAAACATTTTAGCCACCTGCCCATTGAACCATTTCTATGTATACTGACATTTTCCACATTGTGCTTTTGTAAGGGAAAAATGCTACATTTCCAGATGCCCTTAAAGCTGGGATGCAGTCACGTGATCCCAACTGTTTTACCAACCCTATGGTACTCCCTGAAATAAAGATGTGGAAGGGAGCAACATGAAGTAATGACTGTGTGAGAGAGTCGTCTTCTGGTAAGAAGGGTGGCAAATGTATCTGCTTCTTCTAGGATCACTCCACATGCCCATCCCAATATGATAAGCACTGAGCAGCAACTGTTGACAGAACAGTCCTGTGGTGTGATGGGCTCTGTTGCAGATGAGTTTGTTTTGAGTGTAGCATTCAAGCCTATCTTCCCTAGCCATTGCAAGGCCCATGAAGTATCATCACATAAACCCCTAAATTAGCAAGAATGAACTCAGTTGTTCCAATTAAAAACTTATAACTAGGCTGGGTGCGGTGGCTCATGCCTGTAATCCCAGCACTTTGGGAGGCCAAGGTGGGTGGATTCCTTAAGGTCAGGAGTTCGAGAGCAGCCTGGCCAGCATGGTGAATCCCTGTCTGTACTATAAATACAAAAATTAGCCAGGCATGGTGGTGGATGCTTGTAATCCCAGCTACTTGGGAGGCTGAGGCTGGAGAATCACTTGAACTGGAGAGGCGGAGGTCACAGTGAGCCGAGATGGCACCACTGCACTCCAGCCTGGACGACAGAAGTAGACTCTGTCTCAAAAACAAAACAAAACAGATCAAAAATCCTCACAACTGTGGGTGTGAAGTTAACAAAAAGACAGAAAAAAAAACTGTCTGAGGCAGATAGGACAGAAATTTTGTACACACATATAAATGAGGAAACCGGGATACAATTTCCATTCATTTAATAAAAGATTTAATATATTTGTTTTAGAAAAGAAAGAGTATATATAAAAATGCTCAGTAAACATGTATTCACCATATGAATAAAAGATGTCATTGTGATTATTACATGCCCTTAAATAATTCCAATCTGTGATTCTACTATACTTTTATTTTATGTGCTTCTTAAAAACAATGAAGCAAAGTATGTATATAGTTCATAAAAAGTTCAATTATGCTAGATTATTTAACCTTTTTTCTTTACTATTTCCTTCCTTATAACGGTTTAGCAATCATGAATATTAGCAGGTGTAGAGGTAGTCCAAATTTGTTCCAATAATTTTAAATATCGAGTCTAAAATCATTCAGTAAAATGAAGAACAAGGAATGCCATGAGTTAACAATGCTTTCAGCTAAGTATGAAAGTGAGAAGGGCAAGAGTGACTCTGACAAGCTCATGCATCTTAAATTCAGCACCACTCAATGCTCTTTCCCAAGAGGATGCCTAAATAGCACTAGACAATGGAGATATCCAGTAATAGGGTGCACTGATACAGAAACTTTACGAGGCACGTAAACGAGAACAGTCAATTCCCAAAGGAATCAACTAGGGACCAGTATTGTCACTCCTTGAAAACAGTAAGTACACACACACACACACACACACACACACACACACACACGCAGCAGCAGCAACAGTAGTAATGGAAGCAATAAGACTATAAGTAACTTGTGAGGTAACATGATACAAACAATTGTGAGATTTTCTGAGTCACAATACAATATCTTAGACATGACTCAAGAAAATGAAATTGATGAGAAACTCTATGAGTTTTAAAATGAAAAATACTTCTGGAGGTGTACTTTGCTCACATGTAAAATAAATAATTTTCAAATTTCTAATTTTCAAACTCATTAAACAAAAGATTATTGCAGCAATTGCCCTCACACCTCCACCATTCACCCTCGCTTGCATCATAATGTAAACAACTTATCTATTACAAAATTGTTCTCTGCTTATCTTTGCCTGTTTCTAGCTCTGGTTTCTGTTTTCAAAGGATGAATTACTGAATATTTTCCATTTGCAATGAGAAAACTGATTGAGATTACATTGAATCTCTGAAGTTAAAGTGCCATCTTGTGCCAAAAGTAAGCATCTCAATATAGATTAAAAACTATATTGGCAAGATGATAGTTTTCACATAATAGAGATGTGTCAAATTCATATAAAGCACTCAATATTAAATTGCCTAAATATGAACATAGTTATAAAAGTATAGATCTAGCTTTGTTTTACTTTGCTAGCAGCAGCATGTTAAGCTTTATGTGGCTAGGTTAAAGCATGCATTCTGTGTTCATGCTACCACATTTTGCATTTTGTCATTGCAGTATTATCAGCATAAAATGGATGCCATAGACCACTTGCTCTCATACAACATAAAGTTTTTTTAAGACTTAAGTAACAGTTCTTTCGGGATCAAGGGCAAACCTCAGTCTCTCTAATAAACTTGCACTGCCTGTACCAATCATGCCACTTGGAACTGATCCATTCTATTTCAAGAATTTAAATGGCAGCAATGCTCAAAACATTGTACCCAAGAGGGAAGGCCAATGCCAGCACACACAACGCTGCCAGTGCACAGTCAGCGATTGCTGGAATTCTGTACAGCAAACAAAATGGTTTCCTGCCTTTAGCCTGACAGATTTTAAAAGCAGTCTTGAGGGACTGGCCAGAGGCTGATAATATCTTTCTTACTGACAATGCCATCATGCTAACAGTTAATACATACAGTCATCATTGACTTGGCATTGCACTTCATTGAGTAAGTAATATATATGTGGAAAATTAAAAAAATAAAAAACGAGTCCATATTTTTAAATATAGCAAGTAATATACACCATAAAATTATACCACAAAACACAGTCAACCATCTAGACAATAAAAACATATCTTTCATAAAATCTCCTAGGGTTTTTATGGTTTTAGGTCTAACATGTAAGTCTTTAATCCATCTTGAATTAATTTTTGTATAAGGTGTAAGGAAGGGATTCAGTTACAGCTTTCTACATATGGCTAGCCAGTTTTCCCAGCACCATTTATTAAATAGGGAATCCTTTCCCCATTGCTTGTTTTTCTCAGGTTTGTCAAAGATCAGATAGTTGTAGACATGCAGCATTATTTCTGAGGTCTCCGTTCTGTTCCATTGATCTGTATCTCTGTTTTGGTACCAGTACCATGCTGTTTTGGTTACTGTAGCCTTGTAGTATAGTTTGAAGTCAGGTAGCGTGATGCCTCCAGCTTCGTTCTTTTGGCTTAGGATTGACTTGGCGATGCGGGCTCTTTTTTGGTGCCATATGAACTTTAAAGTAGTTTTTTCCAATTCTGTGAAGAAAGTCATTGGTAGCTTGATGGGGATGGCATTGAATCTATAAATTACCTTGGGCAGTATGGCCATTTTCATGATATTGATTCTTCCTACCCATGAGCATGGAATGTTCTTCCATTTGTTTGTATCCTCTTTTATTTCATTGAGCAGTGGTTTGTAGTTCTCCTTGAAGAGGTCCTTCACGTCCCTTGTAAGTTGGATTCCTGGGTATTTTATTCTCTTTGAAGCAATTGTGAAAGGGAGTTCACTCATGATTTGGCTCTCTGTTTGTCTGTTATTGGTGTATAAGAATGCTTGTGATTTTTGTACATGATTTTGTATCCTGAGACTTTGCTGAAGTTGCTTATCAGCTTAAGGAGATTTTGGGCTGAGACCTAGGCATTACCATTCAGGACATAGGCATGGGCAAGGACTTCATGTCTAAAACACCAAAAGCAATGGCAACAAAAGCCAAAATTGACAAATGGGATCTAATTAAACTAAAGAGCTTCTGCACAGCAAAAGAAACTACCATCAGAGTGAACAGGCAACCTACAAAATGGGAGAAAATTTTTGCAACCTACTCATCTGACAAAGGGCTAATATCCAGAATCTACAATGAACTCAAACAAATTTACCAGAAAAAAACAAACAACCCCATCAAAAAGTGGGCAAAGGATATGAATAGACACTTCTCAAAAGAAGACATTTATGCAGCCAAAAGACACATGAAAAAATGCTCATCATTGCTGGCCATCAGAGAAATGCAAATCAAAACCACAATGAGATACCATCTCACACCAGTTAGAATGGCAATCATTAAAAAGTCAGGAAACAACAGGTGCTGGAGAGGATGTGGAGAAATAGGAATACTTTTACACTGTTGGTGGGACTGTAAACTAGTTCAACCATTGTGGAAGACAGTGTAGCGATTCCTCAAGGATCTAGAATTAGAAATACCATTTGACCCAGCCATCCCATTACTGGGTATATACCCAAAGGACTATAAATCATGCTGCTGTAAAGACACATGCACACTTATTGCGGCACTATTCACAATAGCAAAGACTTGGAACCAATCCAAATGTCCAATAATGATAGACTGGATTAAGAAAATGTGGCACATATACACCATGGAATACTATGCAGCCATAAAAAATGATGAGTTCATGTCCTTTGTAGGGACATGGATGAAATTGGAAATCATCTTTCTCAGCAAACTATCGCAAGGACAGAAAACCAAACACCGCATGTTCTCACTCGTAGGTGGGAATTGAGCAATGAGAACACATGGACACAGGAAGGGGAACATCACATTCTGGGGACTGTTGTGGGGTGGGGGGAGTGGGGAGGGATAGCATTAGGAGATATACCTAATGCTAAATGACGAGTTAATGGGTGCAGCACACCAGCATGGCACATGTATACATATGTAACTAACCTGCACATTGTACACATGTACCCTAAAACTTAAAGTATAATAATAATAATTTAAAAAAAGAAAAATAAAAAAAGAAAATGCATAAATTAATATACAGAGAATATATATTCTAAAATTAGAAAACAAAGTAAAGAAGCCACATTAGTAAAACAGAACTAATGAATGCCATAAGATTTTTTGTCTCAGTATTGTTCCCAAACATTAAATAAATCTAAATTTATTCTTGTTTTATTAAAATTGCATATTTAAGAAAAATAAAATAAAATAAAATAAAATCTCAAATATGATGAAAGAAAAACAGTTACTAAAATAGGAAAGCTAGTCTAAAAATAATTTGAAATCAAACAGAATTCCAGGAAGGTCTGATTTGGGGGTCAGTGAATTTGACAGATTGTTAGATAATTAAGAGTTGATTGTGTCCAAATAGACTCAAGAGATCACTTAAATACTTGCCTTTCCTTTTGAAAAAGATCATGAAAGACATGAATTTATCAGCTTTTTTTCCTCTCCAAATTTTATGACATTTAAACTCTTTGAAATAGCTTTTCTTTTGTTTATAACACAGTCTTTGAGGAGTCAAATAAAGGAACCATGTTATAAAGAAACATATATATTCTTGAAATTATTATTGTCAGTTTTGATGCATCAGGAAATAAACAAATCTGTAGAGTTTCTAAACAGCTTGACTTTATATTTAATTACACTCTGTATTGGAAGTTGTCTCATGACATGGCAAGACTCATGAGCATTATGACTAGTATTAATCTCTTCTAAAATGTGGTATATCACCAAAACCTGGCAAAGATACAATGCAAAAAAGAAAAATATAGGCCAATATCTCTGATGAATGTTGACACAAAAATCTTCAACAAAATACTAACAAACCAACTTCAACAACATATCGAAATAGAAATTCAACATGAGCAAATACGCTTTATTCCTGGGATACAAGCTTGGTTCAACACACACAAATTAATAAATATGATTTACCAGCCAAACAGAATTAACAACAAAAATTATATTATAATTTTAGTATATGCAGATTTTATTTTTGATAAAATCCAACATCCCTTCATGATAAGTATCCTCAAGAAACTAAGCCTTTAAGGAACATACCTCAAAATAATGAGGGCCATATATGACAAAACCACAGCCAACATCACACTGAATAGACAGAAACTGGAAGTATTCTGTTTGAGAACTGAAACAAGACAAAGATGTCCACTCTCACGACTCCTATTCAACATAGTGCTGCAAGTGGTAGCCAAAGCAATCAGGTAAGAGAAATAATAAAAGGCATCCAAATAGTGAAACAAGAAGTCAAACTGTCTACGTTCATGGACAATATGATTCTATACCTAGAAAACCCTAAAGATCACACCAAAAGGCTCCTGGAACTGATAAACAACTTCAATAAAGTTTCAGAATACAAAATCAATGTACAAAAATTAGTAGCATTTCTATACACGAATAACATTAAAGCAAAGAACCAAATTAAGAACACAATCCCATTTAAAATAGCAACACAAAAAAAATAAATGCAGAGGAATACATCTAACCAAGGGGGTGAAAGATCTCAACAAAGAGAACTATAAAAAACTGTTAAAAGAAATCACAGATGACAGAAACAAATGGAAAAAAAATTCCATGCTCATGGATTAAAAGAATAAATATCATGAAAATGGCCATACTGCTCAAAGCAATCTACAGATCTAATGCTATTCCTATTGAACTATCAATGTCATGTTTCACAGAACTAGACAAAAGTAAGCTAAAATTCATATGGAACCAATAAAAGGACTGAATAGCCAAAGAAATCTTAAGCAAAAAGAACAAAGCTAGAAGCATCACATTATCCACTTATACTATAAGGCTTATACAGTAAGCTACTTATACAGTAGCCAAAGCACCATGGTGCTGCTACAAAAACAGACACATAGAACAATGGAACAGAAGAGAGAACCCAAGAATAAAGGCATACACCTAAAGGCATCTGATCTTCCACAAAGTCAACAAAAGTAAGCAATGGGGAAAGGACTCTCTATTCAATCAATGGTGCTTTGATAACTGGCTAGCCATATGCAGAAGAATGAAACTGCTAAGTATGAAAATGAGAAGGGCAAGAGTGACTCTGACAAGCTCATGTATCTTAAATTCAGCACCACTTAATGTTCCTTCCATAGAGGATGCCTAAATAGCATTAGACAATGGAGATATCCAGTAATAAGGTGAATTGATACAAAAACATTACAGTGAATGTAAATGAGAATAGTCAACTCCCAAAAGAATCAGCTAGGGACCAGACTTGTCATTCCTTGTAAAAAGTAAATTCACACACATTTCCTACCTTTAACCACATGCAAAAATGGACTCAAGATGGATTACAGATTTAAATGTAAAATCTCAAACTATTAAAATCCTAGAAAAATACAAAATAAAACAAGGAAACACCATTCTGAACATTGGCCTTGGGAAAGAATTGATGATTAAGTCCTCAAAAACAATTTCGACAAAAATAAAAATTGACAAGTGAGACCTAACTAAACTAAAGAGCTTCTGCACAGCAAAAGAAACTACCAACGGAGTAAAAAGACAACCAACAGAATGGGAGAAAATATTCTCAAACTATGCATCTGACAAAGGTCTAATATCTAAACTCTATAAGAAACCTAAACAATGTTTTTGTTGAACAAACTAGGAACATGTATGCCCATAAAAAATGGGCAAAATACATGAACAGACACTTCTCAAAAGAAGACATACAAGCAGCCAATAAACATATAAAAATTGCTTCACATCAGTAATAATCTGAGAAATGCAAACCAAAACCACATTGCAATACCATCTCCCACCAGTCAGAATGACTATTATTAATTAATGACTATTATTAAAAAGTGAAAAAAGTACAGATGCTAACAGGGCTGTGAAAAAAAGGGAATGCTTTTACATTTTTTTGGGAATATAAATTAGTTCTGCCACTATGAAAAGCACTTTGGAAATTCCTCAAAGAACTTAAAACAGAGCTGCAATTTGACCCAGCAATCCCATTACTGTGTATAAATCTAAAAGAAAACAAATTGTTCTACCAAAAAGACACATGAACTTGCATGTTCGTTGCAGCACTATTCACAATAGCAAGGACACGGAATCAACCTAGGTGTCCATCAATATTGGATTGGATTTAAAAAAAAATATGTGGTACATATACACTATAGAATACTATGCAGCCAGAAAAATAAGAAAATTGTGTCTTTTGCAGCCACATGGATGCAAGTGGAGGCCTTTATCTTAAGTAAATTAACAGAGGAACAGAAAATCAAATTCAGTGTGTTCTCATTTATATGTGGGAGCTAAACACTGGGTGCTCATGAATATAAATATGGCAACAAGAGACACTGGGAACTACCCAGAAGGAAAGAGAAGAAGAGGGCCATGAGTTGAAAAATTATTGGACACTATAGTACTAGAAAAACTATTAGGCACTATACTTAGATGGGATAACTTATACTCCAAACGTCAGCATCAACACAATGTACCTAGGTAACAAATTTACACATGCATCCCCTGAATCTAAAATAAAAGTAGAAAATGTAAACATACAGATAAATAAAGCCAGGGCTTTGAGGGTGTTTTATGTTCACATAGGAAGCCCTTCTCTTTCTCAGGAATCCTTTCCAGAGAAAGAGGTTTTGTGCAGAATTTTCATGAATGCAATGAAAGTCAAAATATTCCCAGCTAAAACGTGCATTCTGTTATTTTCAAATGAAATTGTCCTTTCTGCCTCAGCATGCTCTCCTTGTGCATCGTGATGATTAATTTCAAATGCTCAATGATGCAGGTTTCTAGATGAATTTCAGAGTTCACTCTGGGTTCCAAGTGTGTACCTCTGGAGTCTGCTCACCTTCAGGAAAGAGATCATGTACTAACCTAAAATAATGAGGATTTTAAAAATGGCTCACTTACAATCAAAGCCACATCTTGCAAAATGTTCTACTCATACTAGCTCTTCTTCTTTCAGTTGGCAGCTTCCTGTCCCTTTCTACTCATTTTCCATCTGATACCATGTGACTCAAGTGGGATTCACAATCAGAATGAACATGTTTACTGTATAATTCCAGATTTTACAGTATTTTTTAAGAAAACAGGAGAAACCAGGATTCATGTGAGTCCTTGAGTTGTTGTTTGATAGACACCTGAGTGACGCTTACCCACCAGAAATTTCCAAGTTGATTGCCATGATAAATACTATTGAGCTTCCTCTAGTGAACAAAAATCTTATTCCATTTGTCATCACTGTCAAAGGCAATGAAACATGTAATATAAAAGGTGGTCAGAAATTGAAAAAAAATTAAAAATATGGTATATTGAATTTTATCGTTTTGTTTAAAGATTTATGATGTAGCTTTATTTTTTATAATTAATTTTCATATTGTGCAATTATTTTATATCCATCTTTCTACTGAGTGTTTTAAAAATTATCTTATTCAATCTTCACAACAGTTGTGAGGCTCAAAGCACATTTTCTAAAATCAAATACCTAATTTGTTTTAGATAGGCAAGTAGTTTTACATTTAATTTTTACTCCAGCTAAATCCCTATTTTTATCCCAACTTTGAACAACTATGTCAAAAAACAAGCAAAAAAAGATGTGTTCTTTATTTTGTAATCAAGAAAATACTACTGCATTTAAAAGCATTACAGCATTTCAATAAATAAAGAATGCTTATAGGTTTCATGTATAATACAACTTACAGCAGTTTTTGTTCAACTTTCCTCTAACAATTAATTTAACGAATGCCAGTAGTACTCCAGCTATCTCAGATTATGAGCCCATGAGGTGAGGTTTGCAGCACCAGCTGTCCCACTCACATATTACTTATTCTCATTTCAAATGGCTTTTTATTGGGATTGACTATTTTATGTCAAACAGTCCAATATTTAAAGCAGAAATCATGGTTAGAAGGGCAATACCAGTGATACCTAAGATTGCAGAGGCAATAATAACATTCTTTTCTCATGTAAGACAAGCCCCTATCGCTTCACTGGATGTTTCACAATCTTTCTGTTTCTTTTTCTCCTTTTGGATAATAAGGTTGTGAGACTGGAGATTTAAACAGCATTATCTCACAAGTATAGGAGCTGTAGTCTACTCATATGAATAGCAGCCATAGTCTACTATTCTTATCAAACGAAATCGACAGTGTTTTCTAACTGGGAATGTTTTGATTTTCATTGCATTCAGGAAAATTTTACACAAAGCCTCTCTCTGGAGAGGATTCTTTCTCTGCAGAGGAGTCTAGTCATAGTCTACTAGTAGTACTAGTCTAAGCCTATTACTACTGCAAGGTCTACTAGTATGGCCATTAATAGTCATAGTCTATGTAGTCTATGCAGTGTCTTAGAACTACATAGTAGACATTTTCCACTAAAAGCAAAAAAAAAATCATTTATGTGCAGAGGTACAGGCACTGCTGTAAGGCCATTCAATAGACAGTTGCCCCTTTACAAACTACAAATCTATATGAATGGGGTGGGAGTCTGAAGGTCACGTCGGCTTCAGGTCTCTGTTTCACATGGGGTTCTTGAAGTTCTTGAAATTTATGACAAAGTTCAGTGGCAGCTCAACCTTTTAATAAATGATCCATATCTCTTTATGACCATCATCGCTTTTTTCCGTTTCCTTGACCGTTATTCAGGTTCCTCAGTTGCCCCTGTAAACATGACACTTTTGGGGCCAAGGGAGGGTTGAAGTCTATAGAGTGACTAAGGGCCTTGATCATATAATTTATAATTATTTTCTAGTAGCCAGATATAACTATGAGATTTTCTCCTTCTCTCTAAATACACACATACACACATCTACAAATATATTTCTGTTGTAAGTTGTACAATGTAGGGGGAAAGACATATGATTTAATTTAATTTATTTTTATTCAGAAGGACTCACAATGTAACATATTGAATGTCTGACGATATCCAGGGCCAAGAAGTAAAGAAACAGAAAATGAAGGCCATTTCCAACATGTCCATGCTTATATGCTATTATTGATTGGTTTTGAATTCCTCTTCAACCTGACCTCAGCTGCTGTAAGGGAAAAAGTGTCTGGCCTTCTGAAGCGTCTCACACAAAAAAAGATAAAAACATATAAAACACACTTAAAAACGAGAGAAAGGATGTGCTTGTCTCATATTGCCTGTCTTGCCTCTGGAAATGATTATCTCAAAGTATGTGGCACCTTCTCCTAACAATGCCCCCACATCTTCACTTCTCCTCTTCTCATTAAAACCACACAAATCAAAGCCCAGAGCTGTAAAGTGAATGAATTTAAACCAAGGATTTGTGTATTATACAAAAGTGTAGTGTGGCAGATGCTTTGAGTTTCCCTCAACAGTGGGAAGCTTTTCTTTGACTTGTAAGGTTTAGAATGGTGCACCTCCAAAGTGCATGCCAGGGAAGCACCCATGCATTCATTCACTCCCTGCTTCTGAGGCCACTCTTTGGACTTCTACTGTGTGCCTGGCCCTGGGCTAGAGAGTGAGGATAGAAGGGCAAGTAAGCATGATCTGTACCCTCACATTGCTTAGAGCACAGGGTAGGGAACCATAGGAGCAGAAAAAAAGATAGTGGTGTCGTAGCCTGAGTCAGGAGAAAGGAATATGAAATAAGGGTTCCTTTAGAAGTCATATGAGCTGAGCCGCGGCCAGGAGCAGTGGCTCACACCCGTAATCCCAGCACTTTGGGAGGCCAAGGCAGGCGGATCACCTGAGGTTGGGAGTTCCACACCAGCCTGACCAACATGGAGATACCCCATCTCTACTAAAAATACAAAATTAGCCAGGCGTGGTGGCACATGCCTGTAATCCCAGCTACTCGGGAGGTTGGAGGCTGAGGCAGGAGAACTGCTTGAAACCGGGAGGCGGAGGTTGCAGTGAGCCAAGATCACGCTATTGCACTCCAGCCTAGGCAACAAAAGTGAAACTCCATCTCAAAAAACAAAACAAAACAAAACAAAAAAACTCATATGTGCTGAGCCATAGGAATAAGTAACAGTTATTCTGATAAAAAGGGGGCCAGTACCAAGCCAATAAAGGCATTTCATGAACTAAGGCCCAGAGGACAGAATTAGTGATATTATGTAGGTAACCAGTAGAAATTCGTTTGTGCAGAACTTTCCAACATTATTATTCTCAAGATCATATAGTTTGGTTTATTTTTTCTTACAATGTTTATGCACTGCATTATATATTACTCTTTATATAGTAGCGGCCTCATAATGATTTTTAGTTGACCTTAATCCAGGAAATTTGGTACTATGAAAATGAATGCAAATGATGTTACTATCTTTACTCCTTTCTGTAGCCCTCAAGGTCACAAGTCACCTCTTCACAACCTGCTCCAGAAAGCTACACTATACAATGTCTGATAAACAGTACAGGGTACATAGAGATTCATAAAATTATCATAATCTGATTTATATAGAGATCAGTACTAAGAACAAATTTCCTTCACAATGGTTTCTTCCATTAAACCTTCTGTTAAACCAGCTAAGTAGGAAAAACTTCTGTCTGACACTTTTAAGCATCTAGGCTGCATAGACTTTGAGATAAACATTAAAAATCATTTCTGATGATGATGATCTGATATAATCCTGCTGTCAAGAGCAGTTAGTCTCATCTCAGAGCTATACTTATTTAAGACAATTTGAAAAAGTGTTTGAAATCTAGGTCCAACAACTACTAGAGTATGTATATCTTGCAATTTTTCCTTTTGAAATTATAGAACATATCTGTGAATTTTAATAGTGTTAGGGTGATAAAAATGATCAAGAGGTACATGTGTTTTCTTTCAACCATCTGTCAAATGGACTTCTTGTGACATTCAGGTCTCCTGTATACAATGCTTTGAAAAAAAAAATCAATGTTTTTCTTTAAGAAAAAATAGATCTCAGCTTCAATAGCCACAAAGAAAATGAAATACTTAGGAGTTCATCTAACCAAGGAGGTGAAAGATTTCTGCAAGTAGAACTACAAAACACTGCTAAAAGAAGTCATGGATGACACAAATAAATACAGAAATAGTTCATGTTTATGGTTGGGAAGAATCGGTATAGTATAAATGACCATACTACAGATTCAAGAAAATCCCTATCAAAATATCAATGTAATTTTCACAGAACTAGAAAAATCAATTCTAAAATTGATATAGAACTAAAAAAGAGCCCAAACAGCCAAAGCAGTCCTAAACAACAAAAAAAGAAAGCTGGAGGCATCATATTGCCCAACTTTCAAACTATGCTATAAGGCTACAGTAATATAAACAGCATGGCACAGCATGGACATATAGACAAGTGAAACAAATTAGAGAACCCAGAAATAAACCTGCACACCTACAGCCATGTAAAAATCAACAAAACTAAGCAATGGGAAAGGATTCCCTATTCAATAAATGATGCTGGGATAGCTGGTTAGTCATATGCTGGAAAATGAAACTAGAACCCTAATTTTCACCGTATATGAAAGTTAACTCAAGCGGGATTAAGGACTTAAATTTAAGACCTCAAACTGTAAAAATCCTGAAACAATGCCTAGGAAATACTTTTCGTGCTATAGGTTTTGGCAAATAATTTATGACCAAGTGCCCCAAAGCAATTGCAACAACAACAAATTGACAAGTGGGACCCAATTAAAATAAAGAGGTTCTGGAAAGCAAATTACCAAAAGATTAAAACAGATAGAGTACAGAATGTGAGAAAACATTTGCAAAGTATGTATCTAAAAAAGGTCTAATACCCAGAATCTAGAATCTACAAGAAACTTAAATCAACAAGCAAAAGACAAAAACTCCAGTTAACAAATGGGCAAAGGGCATGAGCAGACAATTCTCAAAGAAGATGAACAAGTAGGTAACAAAGATGAGAAAATGCTCCACATTAGTAGTCATCAGAGAAATGCAAATGAAAACCACAATGAGATATCACCTCACATCAGTCAGAATGATGATTATTAAGAAGCTGAAAAACAGCAGATGTTGGCAAGTCTGTGGAGAAGAGAAAATGCTTATGCACTGTTGGTGGAAATGAAAACTAGTTCAGTCACTGTGGAAAACAGCTTGGAGATTTCTTAGAGAGCTTAAAAGGTTATACACAATACAAACTAATTCATTCTATCAAAAAGACACATGTACCTGTATGTTCACAGCTGTGCTATTTACAACAGCAAAGACATAGAATCAAAGTAGGTGCCCATCCACAGTGAATTTCATAAAGAAAATGTGGTATATTTACAACATGGAATTCTACACAGTCATAAAAAGAATGCAATCATGTTGTTTGCAGCAACCGTGAATGGAGCCAGTGGTCATTATCCTAAGCAAATCATCTTAAGAGCAGAAAACCAAATGGCACATGTTCTCACTTATAACTGAGAGCTAAATGTTGAATACATAGAAATGGAAAGATGGGAGAAATAGCCACTGGGGATGACTAGAAGGGTGAGGGAGGGGGAGGGGCTTGCACTGAAGAATGATCTGTTGATATTATGCTTGCTGCCTGGGTGATGAGACTGTTGGGACCACAACCCTCAGAATCACACAATTTACCCATGTAACAAACCTGCAAATATACCCTTTAACCTATCATAAAAGTTGAAATTTAAAAAATCTCATAGTTTAAGTTCTGTTTCATTAGTCTTATTTGAATAGAAATATGGTAATTAACATAACCCTGCTTATTGTCCACTTAGACTTTCTCTAAAGGTCTATTTGAAGGTCATTTTTCAGTTAAATTTTATTTCTCTGACGTACTCATAAATTTTTCTACTTCCCATTCTAGAAGATATCCACACACACACACCCCCTCCAACCAACGCACACATGTATATTTAAACTCATTGGTCTTCACATTTTCTCTGTGAGAGAATCACTTTCCATGAAGTTTGATCTTAATGATATAATTAAAATTTTGTCTAGGGTTATAAGAATCATAAAAATTTAAATTCTTATTTTCCAAAAAATAAATACGTATAAGAAAATATTTCCAAGTGAATGAAACCATTGAATATAACAGTGTTTCTTGCTACACATTTGCCATTTTCTTCATATGTGATGTGCAGCATATTTCTTATTCTAGATAATCCCATTTTGAAAATCAGTCCTCTCACATGCTACCTGCTGCACATTGAGTGAATAATGTGACTTTACATTCTGATCAAAGTTACTAAAAAGTTAAAATAAAAATCAATTCTACTTTAGATATTTATATTCTCAAGCCACTAAAATGATTTGAAATAATAGGTCTATATGTTATGTTCATTTTATATCAAGTACTAAACATAATTTTCCTAGCCCTTTGCTACTATTTTATGATTTTTTAATAATTTAAGTAAACTTCTTCCTGGACAAAATGTTAGTGTAAAAGCTGATGATTGACTCAAATCTTGGTACTTCTGAGGCTTTTTGGTACATGATAGACTTCAAATTTGTTCAATCTTATTCTTGACTTTGCTAGATATGTATTTTGCAAGGTGTTACTGGAAGTGTAACCTGCAAACATCCCACAAAATTGCCTGCAAATAAATGATATGGAAGGTTTAAATAGTTGTAAGACTACGTAATTTGGGGGAGAAGCTAAGGATACTCACACCAAGACCCAAATGGTCAGTATCAGTGGCAGGTACCTAGGATAATAGGTAGAGTTTACTATGGTTTTAATTTGAGGCTATTGTGAGCACCTATCTTGTAACAAAATATCTATCTACCTTCACTCCAATTACTATGGCTGCTCAAAGATAAAGCTGTGAAAAACCTAGAAATAACCTCTAAATAGAAGCTAGGGAAAGAAAAATAAAGAAAAATATATTTCTAAAAAAGTGTGCCTGTGGAACCTTAGGCAAAATGACTCTTTTTAGAGAAGAAACTTTAAGAAAGCATTCATAAGAAGAAAACCAACACCCTGCTATTATTTGCAATAAACAATAAGAACTCAGAATGCAGAACAAAAAATACTCAGATGAAATAAAGACATGATTATAGAATTCCACTTCTGAACAGACTACTAACTTTCAGAAAGTATATTTGATGTGAGGTTTACATTTAAAATAAAAAGCAACATTCTTAAAAGCAGTGGTTCTGAAATACCAGTACAGATTGTACTCAGTTCTTGTATTTTTTAAAGGCAAGCTCTTGGGTCATTTTGCTCATGATTCCCATGATTTCTGATTCACTGATTAAGAGCTTTTTAGGAGATTTTTAAAAATTGTTCTTCTTCAGCTAAAATCATTCCTGTTGAAAGGCATTTTAAATAAGGTAATATGGCAGCGGGTCTGATTATGAACAATGACGTTAAAGTTGTACTTTGAGGACAATTGAGCCATTTTGCATTGAAATATTTTCCCAAGAAAATCAGTGAAGGGATTTCTTTTGACAAATACTGTTTTAACAAAGGAGTTATAACATATAGCACAGTAAGAAGTCTCATGACCTGAATGAATTTAAAAACTATTTATTGTCATTACTATAGTTATTCTTTTGTAGAAACTTCCTTAGCAACAACAAAAATACACAGATTAAAATAAGTCATATACATAAATATCCACATATATATCCACTTATATATACATGCACACATATACATAAATAAGGAACACCTTACTAAATTGTAAAAAAAATTATTATATAAATATACAAAATTAGTCACTTGTGGTTAAAAAAGACATCAATACTTAATTCGAGAAGATATCAAATCTTGTGATATATACCATAGGCATTATTTTCTGCTGTTGGAAATAATAAAAATTATTGGTATTACTTTTATAGGATGCCTCCATACCAAACAGAAATATTTCATCCAATTTGAAATAAATATATTTATAATAAATAGTAAAACCATAGCTAATAGGAATAGTTTCCCAAGAAAGTCTCTGTTGTGGTCATTAAGAAAAAAACACATTTCACACATTGTATTAACTAAATTTTCATTAGTTTATATGTTTTTCCCTCTGGAGGTTCCAGGTGACCTTTTCATCCTTTAGAAAAATGAGACAAAGAAACAACAACAACAAAAACATTGTCACAATTTTGAAGAAAGAAATCCCAATGTACTCATTCCTCAATTACTCTGTGACTTAGAGTGGCAAAATTAAAGTTTCCTGATTAATTTTTTCTACTTACCTAAAATAGTTTCATAAAAAGTAAAGCATCTATACCAACAAAACAAAGAAAAACAACAAGACGAACACAACAGTTTAAAATATCAATGATTGTAGGAATATAGTGTAGTGTTGTGTGTGTGTGTGTGTGTGTGTGTGCTTCTTGGCATTAAAGCTGTCTGATTATGTGATAGTTTGATTTTAAAGAAAGTAATTGCAAAGACAGTGAAGAAAAAACATAACTTCATGCTTTTTAAAGTAATTTGTCTCTTATTTATAGATAATACTGTAAAATATGTTATAAGTTAGATATTATAATGTATTGAATAAATAAAAGATAAATTAATAAAAAGAACCAATAAGAGACTCTGTAAAAAAAGACTCTAAAAATCATTAGTCTTGGAAATATCTATCACTTAGTAAGCTTTTTAAATTGCTATAGAAGTTTAATTCTCAAAGCTTTTCTGAAGTCAATTACTTTTCTAAAACTTGTTTGCACACTGAAATATTTAATATTTTAGCTTCACAAAAATTTGAGTGAGAATATTTCCCTTTCAGTAGAAATAAATTTTGGAAAAGGATATATATGTTCAGTTTTTGATACAAGACATCTGAGTTTTTTTCAAGTTTCTCGATGATATATGAAAATCCATCATGATTTCTAACATCGCTGATACATGTTTTTGATAAAATCATTCTAATCTTCACTTTCCAGGTATTTCCTTGAATGTAGTTTCAAAAACTAATAGTTGTAGCATTCCTTTTGTGAGAATAATTATCTCAGATAGATTTTTTCCCATTTTCTTCCTAATTCTGTCAAATGATGCCGTGTAGTAGCTATCTCTGAAGTAGAGTGACAGACTGACAGGTGTTGTCAGCAAGAAGTCTGATGACTAAGAGATGTGTTTCTCTTCTAACAGATTCAATAAAGCATAAAGGAGAGGCAAAGCAGCAGTGTGTGCAGCTTGGGGAAGCCTTTGGCTAAGCCCCTTTGAAAGATGTGAAATCTCTGAATATTCTAATTGAGGCACAGATATTTACAGTCTGCATTGTTGTGTGCTTAAAATATTCACCAAGATGCCTTGTAGCATATTATTATCTAGAAAACAGTGATACATATCATAATGAGGCCCAAATCCATCGGATTTTTTTGTGTGCTTCCAAAAGAAGCCGTAGTCGAGTGCAGTTACAGAATGACATAAAAATCTCTTTAAGGTATGTTATCTCTTATTTCCTCTGCAACTTTAAAACTGCGCTGTGAGCATCTTCTCAGCAGCACATATCTCAAGCCCGCTGTGAGTCGTTACACCCTCAGCAAGACTTCCTCCCCTCTTCCTCCTACCTTCATTTAATTCCCCCAAGAAAACACTGTGTGCTGTGTATTCATTTTCTGCAGCCCTTGGATCCTGAATGTAATTGAACGGAAACTGACCATTTCTGTAATAAGCAACCTCTTCAATTAGTCACACTGTCACCTGTGATAATACAAATTCTTCTTTGTGATTCTAATCATCAGCTGTCATTCAAATAATGCCAGGTGCTTGGCAAAGCACTCTGTGGAATTTTTCATCCATCTGTCCAGTCTTAGAAATGACCTTCTATTACTTTTCTTTGTATACATGTTATCTTTAAATAGGGCATTTGCATAACAAAATAATGCCTCTGACCACACCAGGGAGTTGCATGATGAGAGAAGAGACTATTTACTACATTATTTGTAAGCCATATGATATTAAAGACTATTGCCATTCAGCTTCAGGCCACCAACACTCAGTGTATTTATATAAAGGCAGCAAATGCTAATTGTTAACAAAAAATACAGCTCTCCTTTTTATCAGCTACAAATGTGTTAGGAGCAGAAAAAAAAATCTATTCTGCAAATAGATATTTGTATTGCAGATGCTTAAAGGAGTGACTAATAAGGCTATTTATTGTCCAAATTTGACTAATTGTTGTACTGAGAAACTGCCTAGGAGCCAGTTTGTGCTTTGAAATTAAGCATTTTCAGTAAGTTCATCAAAGTAGTAGGACTCTAGCTAACAGCAAGAAATTTAGAAACTTGTCTATTCATATTGATCCCAACTTGCATGGTGTTATATAGAGGACTATCTATAGGAACCTAAAGGAATGATCTACAGGTAAATGTAAAGAAATCATAAATAGTCTCCTAGAGGCTATTCGACTGAAAAATAATCCTCAGACTAGACCACTTTTGAGGATAAAAGAAGTTACTATTAATAATATCACAACCATTCGGATAAAGTTGGACTGTCCCAGGCACATCGCAATATAGGCTTTCTGTATTTCGACTTTTATTGTTCCACAAGTTTTAAATAAATATTTAAAAGTGATTCTCTATTGCATGAAAAATAAATTGCCTCAAATACTTTCAAAATATGGACACAAACCACAATTCCATTTTTCCATCATATAATTTTACCATGATCTCATTTTCTAAGCATATTGGTCTTCATGTGTTGGCTGACCATGCTCTTCTGAAAGACTTTTTTTTTCTCTCAGTTTATTTTCCTTTTAAACTTTTATTTTAGGCTCGGGGTACCTGTGCAGGTATGTTATATAGGTAAACTTGTGTCACGAGGGTTTGGTGTACAGATTATTTTGTCACCCAGGTACTAAGCATATTACTGGAGAGTTAAGCATATTACTGGAGAGTTACTTCTTCCAACCCTCTCCCTCAAGTAAGCCCCAGTGTCTGTTGTTTCTCTCTTTGTGGCCATTGGTTTTCGTTACTTAGCTCCCACTTACAAGTGAGAACATTCAGTTTTTGGTTTTCGGTTCTTATGTTAATTTGCTAAGAATAATGGTCTCCAGCTCCACCCATACTCCTGCAAAGCATATGTGTATATGTACCACGTTTCCTTTATCCACTCCACCATTGATGGTCATTTAGGTTGATTCTGTGTCTTTGCTACTGTAAATAGTGCTGCAATGAACATATGCATACATTTGTCTTTCTAATAGAATTATTTATATTCCTTTGGGTATATATCCAGAAATAGGATTGCTGGGTAGAATGGTATGATATCTCATTGTGGTTTTGATTTTCATTTCTCTAATTATTAGTGATGTTGAGCATTTTTTTCACATGCCTCTTGGCCACATGTATGTCTTCTTTTGAAAAGTGTCTGTTCATGTCATTTGCCCACTTATTAAAGGAGTTGTTTTTTTCTTGCTTGTTAACTTATATAAGCTCCTTATAGATTTGCATTATTAGGCTTTTGTCAGACATATAGTTTGCAAATACTTTCTCTCATTCTGTAGGCTGTCTGTTTACTTTGTTGATAATTCATTTTGCTGTGCAGAAACTCTTTAGTTAAATTAGGTCCCATTTGTCAAATTTTGCTTTTAGCATCTCTGTCATGAAATCTTTGTAAGTTCCTATGTCCAGAATGGTATATCCTAGGTTGTCTTCCAGGGTTTTTAGTGTTTTGGTTTTACATTTAAGTTTTTAATTCACCTTGAGTTGATTTTTGTATATTGTGTAAGGAAGGGTTCCAGTGTCAACCTTCTTCATACAGCTAGCCAGTTGTCCCAGCACCATTTATTGAATAGGGAGTTATTTTTCCATTGCTTGTTTTGTCAGTTTTGAGAAGTGGTTTTCCCCTATTGCATTTAGTAGTATTCTATTTGCATTTTTGTTTCTAAATAAATGTTCCTCTCAAATTTATCTCATTACTGGCAATTATGTTACCTCCATATTATCTGGCCTAAATCCCAGAGGGAACACTTTGGTGGACTTAGCCAATAATCATCTTCGCTAGGAATCAGCACTTCCATACCACGTCCCTCATGGAAGGGTCATGCTTGCCTCTGGAATACATCAAAGAACAAATTACCATTGCTGTGATTGGGACTTTTTAATTTGAAAATGGACGTAATATTGTATGCAGGGTGAAGAACATGGGGCAGTTTCAAACTCACCCTCTTCACGAAGCCTTCTGAGAATGATTCCAGAGAAAATCAAGTTCTCCACATTTAACACTCATAAAATTTTGTGTTTCTATTATCACTGTGTTCTGTATTTTTGAATAAAAATATTCATATTTTAGTGTCTCCACCACTTGTTCACAAAATTCTGAAGCACTACAGCCACATGATTCATCTTACTGTCCCTCACAGCCTAGTGACTAGGCACTTAGGAAATGTTCAATAAATGTTAATTTCATTGAAACGACAAGTTTGTAAGCTATAATAGTTCAATGTGAGTTGGAAATGGCAATTTAAACTCGAGAAGCCAACAGTCTTTTTATTCTAAGATATTGAAAAATGAGTCATCATTCATCTCATCTCTCATTTCTTCTTTGCCTCTGTCATTCTTATGCTAGACAGAGAAATGGATATGTATTAGGTCAGACTTTTCACAGGATGCTACTGAAGGTACCAGAAGTAAAAATTATGGCAGGAAAAATCATGTATTATTAAAGAAGTCTATATTAAAATAATATAAAGTTTTTTCCGAGTAGGAAGGCAAATCATTTCCATTTCATACAACAGGTTTGAACATTATAAGATTGGCAGACCCCAACATAAAGAAATAAGCTTGAATAAAAGATCAGGAAAATACTGGTGAGTAATTAGCAGGAATAAACAAACAAAAGCCCAGCCTTTTATCAATCTTCATAGAATTATGAATACCATTAGTAAGATTTGCTTTATAGAATGTCATGTCAAAAAAATATAAGTGGGCCGGGTGCGGTGGCTTACGCCTGTAATCCCAACACTTTGGGAGGCTGAGGCGGGTGAATCACAAGGTCAGGAGTTCAAGACCAGCCTTGCCAAGATGGTGAAACCTTGTCTCTACTAAAAATACAAAAAAAATTAGCCGGGCATGGCGGTGGTTGAATAAGACATTTGCAGGCAGTTGTACAGTCAATTTCAATCTTTTATGCAACTATATATGCAACTATGCATATATACATACATATATATGTATATTATATATATATGCATATATCTTCTTAAGAAAAAACTTTTCAAAAATGGACCCTTGACTTCATATATTTGAAAATTCAAGAAATGCCAAGGACTGAAAAGTCATTATAAGAATGCAGAAGGAAAATAAATTTTGCTCAAGTTTAATCTAACTCTGAGAGTTATCACAAGGATTAAACATGGAATTCAATCCGCAATATATCACAAGCTATATTTCGCCTTTACAGTTATATAGTTATTCTTATCACTTCCTGGAATTGGTATTTTTTGTGTTTACCTCTACAAATAAAGTGGAATCAAACTTTTTCTCATCTAAATGATAAGAGTCATTTTACGTTTTACTTATTAGTAAAAAAGTAAATTAGTCATTTACTTTTACTTATTTCATTAATAAAAATTAGAGTATTTCAGAGAATACCATGCACCCTTTAATGTAACTGAATCCCCTTACTTCTACTCTTTGATTTCTAATAAGATCCTTCTGATGGTTATTAAACTTGTATTCTCTTAAATAAAAATCCCATTGATTATTTCAAAACATCATTTGTTTGTACATCTCACTATTAGGAAACTAAATTTTGGAACCCCCCCCAAAAAAACATGGGTAGAAATCACTATATAAAGTGATTTTAAAAGGGTAATAATATGGAAAAGTGATACATTGAACAAAGGAAAAAATCCGTTTTGGAATGTCTTAGTACTAACAAGTGGCTTAATGCTCAGGATGATTTTTATTTTCATAACAGTTAAATATAAAATATGTTAATGATTTATAAGTGATGAAATGTGTAAAACTAGTATACATTTATACATGTATAATAAGCAAATGTTTAAATGACATTATGATTATAAAATGTGTAAATTAAAGTGATGTGAAGCTGTTTTCCCGTAGGTTCAAAAGCGGGTTAAGATTTCCAGCTAGGGAAGTTTTTTTGTATTAAAACTTTGACTCATGGTTAGAAGTATATGGTGAATTTTTTTCATAGAACTTCTGTCCTGCTCTAAGTTGCAAAAAGAAATGAACATCTCAGTGAGCAGGGGGTGGAAGGAGGGTTATAGTAACATGATAAATGCAGAAAAAGGTTTTTTCTTTCAGTGCATTGCAGATACTGTTCAGCAGTTTATCTGTACAAAAATAAAATGTGATCTCCTATAAAACAGCCAAGGTCACTGAATATTGGTCACGCAAGTTAAAGTTCTCTCAGGCCTATTCCACCTTTTACATTTTCCCCCCTTTGGCTAGGAAAAAATAAGACCTTTACAGGCAGTTGTACAGTCCATTTCAATCTTTCATTCAACTGTCTAGTTCTTGTTATATGCATTTCTTTAAAACTGTTATTAATAAAAATCTAAAAATATTCTAGGTTATTTGAAACATACTATTTTTGAGTATTGAATAATACTTCATGGTACAAAGATAAACATTATAAATTTTATATTTCAATTACTCACATCGCATTTAGTTTTTGGGTGCTATATACATTGAATGACCTCATTCTCTCCATAATTTTCAAATCTCTTTGAATAAGAAAGAATTCTACAAATACAAGCTGCATGAGGCATATTTACACATTTGAATGTCTTTCTTGTAATTTACATTTATCACTATATAATACCTTGAAATTTTCATTTTACAGGTTAGCAGTTATTAATCTTGTTACGATATTATAGATTGAGATACGAAGTCATTATTAAGTCATGGTGTTTAGTAAGATATCATAACTTATAGTTTAAGAACACAAGCCCTTTAAGACCAGGAATTATTTTTTCTTCTGTTCTGTTTTTTACTGAGTGCCTTGTACAGCCTGGCACATAGTAACTCTTTAATAGATGTTTGCCAATGAATAAAATAATAAGTAAATGCATGAATGATGGCCTAGATTTAAAATGTACCACACATAGATTCCAAACTAATCCTATAGTTAAATCAACAGGGCAAAATTTTATTTCTGGAATATGAGGAAATTTGAACTCCAAATAAGCTTCGAACTCAAAATTTCACCTTTGGTTTATAATCTTCATTTGGATATAAGCTGATTTATGTACTTTTAATTTTATTTACTGATAAAACAGGAATAGAACATTATGAGAGACATGGAAGACTGAAAAACGTCCACTCTGACCCTCACATGTCCTTGTCCCTTGTAGCTATTGCATAACATGTTCCTAGCATGTGACCTAGGCCCCAACTCTTCATCTCCCTCCTTTTGATAAAATCCAAATAGTACAAAAGTGGCTGCTAATCTGAAAAAATAATGCCTCCCTCTTTTTAGTACTGTCTCTGTACAACTAACCTAACTTCAGCTGGCTGCCTCCTGCTAAAGCCCTGTAAAATAGTCAACCGCACTTCCTGAGGTTACAACCTCCACCCTTTCCTCATGCCTGGTATCTTCAAAGAAACATTCGTGCTCATGGTGTTATGCTTGATTTTTCTCCACAAGAGGACCAATTTATTTCAAGGCTAGAGTTAGCATTAGAGGTATGGGAGTATGTACATTGAATTTATAGGTATATATATATATGGTGAGGTCTTAACCTCTGTAAGAAAAGTACTTGCAACACAAGCAAATATTTCTCCCTTATTTTTCTAAATCTGTGCCCTAAATACTTCATGTAAAGTATATGTATAAATTTCAAAACTATAAGGAAAACCAAAAATTATATAATGTTAGCTTTTAGGAGTTTTTTATTCATAAGCATGCCTCCTTAGTTGATAACTTCTCTCAATTATTTTTTTACATAATTTTCACTGAGTATTAATTATTTCAGTTCTGGGAGCAATCAGCTGAGAACAAATTACGCTTTAAAAGTATCTTTGGCATGGTTTTTATAAGACCGCCTCATGAAGAAGATGAGCATTTCAAGTAGAATGTATGAGCCTTTGATGCCATCTTTGTAGAAGCAGATCTGGCATTCCTTGGATCCAATCTAGAGGCTCATGATGCTCATTGGCAAACATATTTCTCTATTGCCAAAGGAGAAGCTGTGCCCTCTGGGCTCTGCTTGGTTCACCTCAATGTCTACAGAGTGGGTAGCAAGCTGATTACAAGGCTTTCTGCTAGCTCTACTATTGGCATCAATACTACCAGGGCTCCAGGGTTTAACACCCTTCCCACATGCCATTACAGAGAACAGCCAGCACCTTAAGTGGCCTTACCTTCTGTGCCCTTAGCTTCCACAGATGAGACTACCACCGCAACCTATCCATCAGAGTATTTCTGATATGTAACTCTTTTGTCAGTCATTTGGCCAATTACTACATCCATAATGTTTTGTTCATGGCCTGCAGTGTAAACCTCTCCAGTCATTTGTCTTTTCATAAAATTTTATCCTCAAACCTATTTGTACTTCTTTCTCCCTCAACCCATCCCATTTCCCCTAAACCTTTTACCAGGCTGTCTAAAATATCCCTTTCATGGTAATAAACATTTAAAAAAATTAATTAATTTTGTAAAAGCCTACCTTGACCTCTTTACTAAGAATCCCCCTCCATCTTTTTTTACGTAACTGGATTCTGGTTCCCTCCTGGAATATGAATTTTCCCGGAGCCTTCCAGATGACATGACTCTAGTTTCAAGTGAAAGGTTAGCATCCTGCCTTTCCTCAGTTCTCCCAGATGCTTCCTACAGAATGCTCATATTGAACTTTTCTTCACTGTCACTAAGGTCAGCCTGAATTCCATGTTGTCACCATCATTGCTTACCTGTTTACTCCTCTTTTGGAGAAGAAATGTTAGGTCTGGCACATGATGTCTTCCCACCACAGCTGTATTATTTATTCAGGATGACTCAAACAATAACCTACTTTCATATCTTCTTAAGTTTCTTGTTTTGCTTTCCGATTACAGTCATACCTCAGGGATTTTGAGGGTTTAGTTCTAGATTATCTCAATAAAGTAAATATTGCAGTAAACAAATCACACAAATGTTTTGGTTTCCAAGTGCATATAAAAGTTATGTTTACCCTATACTGTAGTCTAGTAGGTGTGCAATAGCACTTATGTCTAAAAAGAAGTACACATCTTAATGAAAAGATTATTTATTGCTAAAAAGAAAAATTGCTTTATTAACCTTTTTTGCTGGTAGAGGATCTTGCCTTGATGGCTGCTGACTGATCAGGGTGGTGATTGCTGAAAGTTGGAGCAGCTGTGGCAGTTTCTTAAAATACGAAAACAATGAAGTTTGCTGCATCAGTTAACTCTTCCTTCCACAGACGGTTTCTCTGTAGCATTTGATGCTGTTTGATATCAATTTACCCACAGTGGAACTTTTCTCAAAATTAAAGTCAATCCTCTCAAACCCTGTTGTTGCTTTATCAACTAAGCTTATGAAATAGGCTAAATCCTTTGTTGCTTATGTTTGTATTCTAAATGCTGTATTGCTCTCATTTCCACAATTTTCACAGAATCTTCACAGTATAGATTCCTTCTCAAAAAACCACTAATTTTTTTGCTCATTTATATGAACCAATCCCTCATCTGTTCAAGTTTTTTTTTTTTTTTTCTTTTGAGACCAAGTCTCTTCTCTTTGTCACCCAGGCTAGAGTGCAGTGGCACAGTCTTGGCTCGCTGCAACCTCTGCCTCCCGAGGTCAAGTGATTCTCCTGCCTCAGCCTCCTGACTAGCTAGGACTACAGGTGCACACCACCACACCCAGCTATTTTTTTTTTGTATTTTTAGTAGAGACAAGGGTTCACCATGTTGATCAGGCAGGTCTCAAACTCCTGACCTCAAATTATCCACCCACCTCGGCCTCCCAAAGTGTCGGGATTACAGACGTGATCCACCGCACCCGGCCTGTTAAAGTTTTATAATGACATTGCAACAACCATATCTGCAGCAACTTCGTCCACTGAAGTTTTGCACCCCTCAAGGTCATCCATAAGAGTTGGAATCTTCTTTCAAACTCCTGTTAGTGTTGATGTTTGACTTCCTCCCATGAATCACAAATGTTCTTAATGGCCTCTAAAATAGTGAATCTTTTCCAGAATTTTTTTTTTCTTTTTCTGAGATGGAGTCTTTCTCTGTCCCCTAGGGTGGAGTGCAGTGGCATGATCTGGGCTCACCGCAACCTCCGCCTCCCAGGTTCAAGCAATTCTTCTGCCTCAGCCTCCCAAGTAGCTGGGACTACAGGCATGCACCACCACACCCAGCTAATTTTTGTATTTTTAGTAGAGACGGGGTTACACCATATTGGCCAGGCTGGTCTCAAACTCCTGATCTCATGATCTGCCTGCCTCGGCCTCCCAAAGTGCTGGGATTACAGGTGTGAGCCACTGCACCCAGCCAGAAGGTTTTAAATGTACTTTGCCCAGATGCATCAGAAGAATCAATATCTATGGCTGCTATAACTTTATAAAATATATTTCTTAAATAATAAGATTTGAAAGTAAAAGTTACTCCTTAATACATGGGCTGTAGAATAGCTGCTGTGTTAGCAGACATGAAAAAAGCCTAAATCTCCTTGTATATTTGCATCAGAACTCTTGAGTGACCAGGTGCATTCTCAATGAGCAGTAATATTTTGAAAGCAATCTTTTTCTGCAGAGTATGTATCAACAGTGGGCTTAAAATATTGAGTAAACCATGCTGTAAACAGATGTTCTGTCAACTAGGCTTTGTTCTTACATTTATAGAGCGTAGACAAAGTAGATTTAGCATATTTTTTAAGAATCCCAGGGTTTGAGGGATGATAAGTGAACATTGGCCTCAGCTTAAAGTCATCAGCTGCATTAGTCTGTCACTTGAAGCTTTGAAGTCGGGCATTATAATGTCGAATTTATTTAAAAATACAGTTGTATGTGAAAAAGTTTCTTTTTGAAATACTTGATGCAACTACTTAGAAAAACAAAGTGTTAAAGAGGAAAACAGATAAGTGTGACAGAGAGATAGTGAAAAAAAGAAAGATCGAAGCAATTTGTTGTGGCCAGAGCTTACCCTGAGATTTTTCTTGGTCCAAAACACTTCAGGCTATCGGGTTCTTTGTGTGGGATATTTTGTCTTAAATTTATTTTTCTAAATGTTGATACACTATAGAAAGCTCTGATTCTCATAGAAAGAGAACCAGATTTTTTGCACATAGCTATCCACTTGCACCCATATCATTAATTCAACTATCTTTTCCCAAATTATGTATTCTACTATCACTATCACATGCAAAATCCCATACATTAAATCTATTTTGACTCTGTCTTATTCTACTTATTATTCTTGTATAAGGATTATACTTTTGAAAACTAAACTAGCTTTAGAGATTATTTGGTGTCTAAACCATCACTGTCCAATAAAAATGTTATTATTATTTTCTAGCAGCCACATTTAAATAAAGATAAAATGAGGCTGTACAAAGTAATTTTAATAGTATTTTTTGTTTAACCCAATATGTAAAAAATATTTTCACATGTAATCTATTATATTTCAGCACATAGGCAATATAAAAACAATTATCAATAAATAGCTTATTTTTTAGGCTAAATATTTGAGATTTAGCATGTATTTTACACTTAGAGCACATTGTAATTCAGACTAGCCACATTTTAAGTGTTCAAGAGAAACAAGTAAGCAGTGGCTACTTTATTGGACAGAGCAGATACGGGAAAGTAAATATGAAAGAAAAATCAGTAAAAGTCTTGTAATAAGAGTGTCTTCCTAAAAGACACCCTAAAGAATCACGCAACCATGATCATTAAAAGCTTTTCTGTATCAGACTGGCATCCAAGACTTATTTGAAGAAATAAATCTCGATGAAGATATACAATCCTACTACATAACAACTCAAGCATCTCCAAATTTAGATGCTTCTAATTATTGTTCTTTCAAGTTCAGTTAATTTTCCTAAAATCAGGTTCAAGAGCAAAAAACAAATTTTACAGTTGCCTTATTTAGTAATTATATACAAAGTTTTGTCAGTATTATTTAATAAAACTGTAGTACATTATAATTCCATATTTATTGGGTTATCAGCTTTGAAATAAGTTTTATTCATTATGGAGTTTAGGTATCTTTAACATATTAAATTGATTAAATATTTTTCCTCAGTAACTTACTAACCTTCCAGGCTATCAATACACACCCTACGCCAAACTGAGTTCAGTCTTCACAAAGAAATAACCCTTTTTGAATGCAATTAGATAACATAGTCTTCTGCTCAAAACTTTCCAAAGAAACGTTGCTCCGTCGGTATTACATCCAAAATGCTTACCCTGGCCTACATGACCCAATAGGGTGGGCCCTATTATTTTCTAACCTTATATTCAACCACTGCCCTAACCCCTTTCTCACTCTGCTCTAGACACACTGGCATTATCAGTGTTTCTCAAACACAACAAAGTTTCCTCTGGTCAAATGTTTTCCCTCCGATATTCCGATGGCTCTGTCTCTCAATCCTTCAGGTCTTTTTTTGAATACTGACTTTCCAATGAGTCTAATCAATCCACATTACTGAAAATTGCTATGTCACTTCTCATTACCACTAATCTCTCTTCTCTATTTTACTTTTCTCCATAGAATTATTGCTCTCTAATCTAGTCTTTTTTTTTTTTTTAACTGTTTGTTATTGCTTCTGCTCCACTAGGATGTAAGTTCTGCAAGGGCAGGGTTTACTTTCTGGTTTGCTGCTGTATCCAAAGCATCTAAACAGTTCCTACTGATATATATATGTTTAAAATAGTATAATAGAAAATATATATATCAAGTATGATATATATTTTTAAAGTTGTTTGATTATAACCTCTTTATTTTGACATTGAAAAAATGAGTTCTATATAATATTTATAGCCACTATTTCCATAAGCAAAAGCAAAATAAATGGTAAATAAGTACACATGATTTCATTAGAGATATTTAACTTCTTAATCATTTTAGCACTTTGTTGGTGTGTGACAGTGACTATTTAAAAATTATATGATTAGCATATTGTACCTATTCACAGTTATAATGAAGAGTAAAATAAATCAATAACTTTAAACTAACTTTAGATATTTCTGGACCTAAATCTTAAGCTTTCTTTCACAATGCTATAAAAATGATAATTACAAAAAAAGCTTCAATGATTTAAAACTAGCAGAAATTCTCAAAGGATATGTTCTTTCTTTTTTTAACAGCAGTTGTTCATATTTTTGACAATTAAATGTAACCATAATTATCACTCAGCCTTTCAAAGAGTCTTTGACATTTCAGGGAAATCTGAACTTCTACTAGCTAAGTTTTAAAGATCATTATTCTGGAGTGCCACAATGATTGCTATAATAAAAAGCAAAGTTTAGAGGTTTTAAAGGAATAAATATGAGAAATCTTATAAAGCAATAGTATATAAAAATTGAAAGCAGTCATATGCACCAACAACATCCAAGCTGACAGCCAAATCAAGAATACAATCCTATTCACAATAACCAAAAAAGAATAAAATACCTAGGACTACAGTTAACCAGGGAGGTGAAAGCTCTCTACAATGAAAATTACGAAACAGTGCTCAAAGAAGTCAGAGATGACACAAACAATTGGAAAACATTCCATGTTCATTGATAGGGAGAATTATCATGGCCATACTGCCCAAAGCAATTTATAAATTAAATACTATTCCTATCAAACTGCCAATGACATTCTTCACAGAACTAGAAAAAAAACTATTTTAAGATTCTCTTAAAACCAAAAAAAGAGTCAGAATAGCCAAGACAATCCTAAGCAAAAAGAGCAAAGCTGGAGGCATCACATTACCAAACTTAAAACTATACTACAGGGCTGCAGTAACCAAAATAGCATGGTATTGGCACAAAAACAGACACATAGAACAACAGAACAGAAAAGAGAACTGAGAAACAATGCCACATATCTGCAATCATCTGATCCTCAACAAAGTCAACCAAAACAATCAATGGGGAAAGGACCCCCTATATAATCAATGATGCTGGGATAACTGGCTAGCTCTATGAAGAAGATCAAAACTGGACCCCTTCCTTACACTATATACAAAAATCAACTCAAGATGGATCAAAGACTTAAATGTGAAACCTAAAACCATAAAAGTCCTGGAATAAAACCTAGGAAATATCATTTTGGACATAGGACCAGGCAAAGATTTATGTTGAAAATGCCAATGTAATTGCAGCAAAAGCAAAAATTGACAATTGGGACCTAATTAAACTAAAGAGCCTCTGAATAGCCAAAATTTAAAAATTAATAAACAGACAACCTACAGAATGGGAGAAAATATTTGCAAGCTATGCATCCAACAAAGGTCTAATATACAAAATCTATAACAAACTTAAACAAATTAACAAGCAAAAACCAACCCTATTAAAAGTTGGCAAAGTACATGAACAGTCACTTTTTGAAAGAAGACATGCATGTGGCCCACTGGCATATGAAAGAATGCTCAACATCACTTATTATTAGTAAAATGCAAATCAAAACCACAATGAGGTACCATCTCAAACAAGTCAGAATAGCTACTACTAAAATGTCAAAAATTAGGAGATGCTGGCTAGGTTGTGAAGTAAAGGATATGCTTATACACTGCTGTTGAGACTGTACATTAGTTTAGCCATTGTGGAACCAGTTTGGCAATTTATGAAAGAACCAAAAATAGAATTACCATTTAACCCAGGAATCTCATTATTAGATATATACCTAAAGGAATATAAATCATTCTACCATAAAGATACATGAACATGTATGTTTATCACAGCACTATTCACAATAGCAAAGACATGGAATCAAACTAAATGTCCACCGATCATAGACTAGATAAAGAAAATGTGGTACATATACACAGTGGAATACTATGCAGTCATAATAAAGAACAAGATTATGTGCTTTGCAGAAACATGAATGGAGCTGGAGGCCATTATCGTTAATAAACTAATTCAGAAGCAGAAAACCAAATATATGTTCTCACTTGTAAGTGGGAGTTAATAATGAGAACAAATGGCCACAAAGAGGGGAACAATAGTCATGGGGCCTACCAGAAGGAGGGGTTGGAAGGAAGGACAGCTTCAGGAAAGTAACTTTCAGGTACTATGCTTAGTACCTGTGTGATGAAATATCTGTACTCCAAACCCCCACAACACAGAATTTACCTACATGACAAATCTGCACGAGTACCCCAGAATCTAAAACAAAAGTTAAAAAAATTTAAAGTAATATTCACAAAATAATTGAATTAAATGTATCCTTAACTAGTAATCTGAGAAGTTAAATATATTTTAAATGAGATTTACAGTATATTCAGAGATGTCCAATAATAAATAAATAATATAACATCAATTAATAGTGAGCTGCAATTTTGGGGAACTTACTGTGTGCTAGTTATAATGCTAGCTATGTACTTTTTAAAACCATTAAGAACAAACTTGCTGCTTCTGCAATAATCTTTATTTCCTTTAATAGGAGACCTATACTTCCAGTTGCTTGACTTCAACCAGTGTTGAAGTCTAACAACAGTCTAACAGAAAGAAAAAAAAACACTGAAATATATCAGGTTCTATTAATCTCTGGTACCTTAAAAGAAAAACCTTTAAGATGTGATTAAGGAAGTATCACGACATGGAGAAATTACCCTGGATTATACACGCAGAAAGGTGAAGGGAATAAGACGGAGGCAAAGAATTGAATCATATGGCCATAAGCAAAGGAATGTCAGAAATGGGATTCCTCAGTAAATACCTGTGGAAGACACTCTTGCCAGTGGTGTAAATCCCCATATCACATGCAGATTTACAGGGTTTTTTAGAATGGTGTATCAGCCAAAACACTGCCAGCTTCAACTGAAAGGGACAGCGACAGGATGAAATGAGTAAGACTATCACTCTTGCAGTTTCACAGGTGGGAAATAGATTGATAAAACCACTTATCTAAAAACATATACCACGCTTTAAGAAAAAAGAATATCTTGAGGAATCAGAGAGTGGAGCTGAGTGAGTTCAGAGGCAGATGCCCAAGTTGTTGGCAAAAACAGCAGAGCAATAGGTCCAGATGATGCCACCTAAAGCCACTGGAAATTATTCCCAAGCCTTGAAAACATTTCTTTTTTTTTTGCTACATTTCAAAATTGCTTGGGACTAGTGTTTCTTTCCTACATTTTATCCCTTTCAAAATGGAAATAGCTATACTATTATTGTATGCTTGTCCCACCATTGTATTTGGAAAGCATGATTACTTTTCTAGTTTGAGAGGTCCACAGATGGAGAGAAAATCCACTGAGTAATTATTCCCAAAGACTCATCTATACCTAACTTAGGTTATTTAGATAAAGAGCTTTGAAATTTTTGAGTTTATAATAATTAAATGGCATTGTGAACCTAAGTTGGTACTACAATGGGTTAGTACTTTGAAAGATATTGGAATAAGATGAACGTATTTTGCATGTGGGATGGACATGAATCTTTGAGTTCCAAAGAGCAGATACTGGTAGGCTAAAAAATGTCCTCAAAAGATATCTACATTCGAATCTGTAATCCTATGTTTCAATGCCTGTGAGATTGAACATCTTTAGCCATCAAGGAAATACAAATTCAAATAATAATGAAATATCAATACACAATAAATTTGCTAAAATTAAAAAAGATAACAACTATTATTTAGTTGTAAAGAAACTAAAATGTTTATATGTTGCTAAGGGTATGTGTTACAAAATGATACATGTACCTAAAGAGCACTTCGGCAGTTTCATGAAAGATTAAATATACAAGAAAAAGTGACACAAAAATTCTATCTGCTCAATCAACTGTGCTCCAATATCTGTTTGACACACAAGTTGATTTGTTTTCTCAGCCCCAGTACGTTGTTAATTATCAGTGTTGGGATTGTAATCAGGTATGTGTTGTCTTTCTTGAGGCATAATCAATTCTCATCACCATATTCTGGTAAAAATTAGTGGTACCACCCAAGATATTAATTTCTTGCTTTGAGGCAATGTGCTCATAACTTCAAGAGTTCTATGTCTGCCCTCAAAGTTCCCTTCCCATTTTATATAAATCATGCATTTCTCTGCAATTTTTTATTTGCCATGCATATTGGACTCTTATCTCAACTATTTTTGCATGTTTTTTATTTCTTTATTTATGGGGTGGGTAATGATGTAAATCTCTACTTATGACACTTCCTTTGCAGTCACTCTGTTGATATGTTGTTATGTACTTATAACTTCATACTTGGGCTATGAAGGGTGTATATTCCTCTTATTAAAACTAACAGGAATTTTTCATAGTAGAAATAAAAATGTTAATTTATCTATAATAGGTCTTTCAGTTTAAAATTTTCCCCAGTCACATAGATGAATGGTATTAAGTCATTTACATTCCTGATCACGTGCACGCATTGACTAAAGATATAAATGAAATTTGAATGTACAGTCCATATCCATGAAATAAATTGGGGTTATAATTAATGATCTGTCCCACATTACCATTTTATTTGAATAGAACTTTAGGTTGAACAAATCAGACATATACAATGACTTTTAAAATACATTTCCTACTACTCTAATACAAATTATTATTTATTAAATTGGAACAAGGTTGTTCAACTTTAGTATTTCTATCTGTAGAAATGTAAGCTCTCAGGTCCAAGAGAAACAATTTTTAAAAAGAAGTGACTATCAGGGCTAATAGTATTTGACTTTTCTGAAATATGCAAAATGGATATGTAACCACATACTTAAAAGCTTAGAAATAGACCTAATGAAATTCCTTTCTAGTATCAAGTTATTTTTTACAGGAAGTGCTTCCTCTTTGAAATCAGGTAGACCTGGTTTCAAAACTTATCTCTACCATTTAGAAGAGGTGACATTTAACTTACTCTCTCTAAAGTCCAGTCTCTTCATCTGTAAAATGGTGACATTAAAATCTAACTCATACTATTGAGAGAATTAAATAAATATTATATAAAGGACTTAACACAGAATGTGGTTTATGGAAAGCACTCTGACACATAATGGCTATGATTACCTATATTAAAAAGCATTTAATTTAGTTTGCTACTCAAGAAATAAAGATTATGTTAACATAATCTTTCAGTTTTCTAATCTGTAAAATGGTAATAATACCTGCCTTATAGATACTTGCAAAGATCATACGAATTTGAAAGGGAGATGAGAAATCTATAGTCTATTAGAAAGCCAGCAGCAAATATAAAGAACAAAAATAGGGTGTAAGTCAGAATGTTTTGTTGTGTTATCTTCTCCTATGAGGCATCTGTTTTATTTTGAGATAAAAGCCTCTTTGGAAGTGAGTCATCTCATTTTTAGGATAGGAAGGCTGGAGTGAAAATTTTTTCACTTCTACCTTAAAGTCATATGGATTAGAAGCATGTAAGAAGATGTGCTGAAAATATTTGCTGTGAATTGCCCCTCTTGTTATTGCACAGATTTTTTTCAACCATACAAATCTCAATTATAGAGAATATGTTGTATAGCAAGTGACATATTCACTTATCTGTAAAAATACTTACATATAGTAATTTTTAACATTCTCCGAAATTTAGGTAAATAAAAATTATAAAATTATCATTATAAAAAACTTTGTAAACACTTAACCAACATTCCTAAAAGTGATAGCCCAATGTCAGTTGCATTTCTCATTAATGAAGGAATATAATTTATATAAAATATTAATACTAAAATACCTTTAAAAATATTATTTAACACATAAACATTCTTCAAATTAAAGGCACTTTATTGATAATTTTTAAAATTAAAGGCAACATAAAATGAGAATTCTTATGGTATTAAAAAGTCCTCTATGCTTGAATAAGTCCTTATTTGCTGGAAACAAGGTTGAATTTCTAATGTCTGCTATGAAAATATAAAGCTATTAAAAGTATTTGTATTTTAAAAAATATTTTTAATTCTTTATTTTAATTTTCTAGAAATTTAATGTTTGAAGATTTCAAATCCATGTCTATTAATTATTATATCTACTGTTTATTATTTTCATTTTTGCATGTTTGGAAGTAACAATATTTTATTTCAATAACATTATTAATAAATCAAGCTTTTAGTCATGTTTTATAATATTTAATTATTTGCATATTTATTACTTGAGGATACATAGCAAACATAATTTAAGTATTTCAATGATTAGCATTGCCCCAGAAACCCTAAACATATTAGATAAAATATATATATATTTTTTCAAATTTAAATTATTTTATTATTTTATTTTATTTTATTTTTATAATTTTATTATTATTGTACTTTAAGTTTTAGGGTACATGTGCACTATGTGCAGGTTAGTTACATATGTATACATGTGCCATGCTGGTGTGCTGCACCCATTAACTCGTCATTTAGCATTAGGTATATCTCCTAATGCTAAGTGCATTTTATCTATCCTAATCCTAAAGCATTAGGATAGATAAAATATAAATTGTGTTAAACAATGAAATATTTGTGCAAGAATATAACAAAGTATAATTTCTTAAATGAAACAAATCATCCTGAGGGAAATACTATGGTCTTCATTGAAAAGTTTGCAGAAATATAAAAAACACATATTATTTACAATTTAATATTTGCTTCAATATTAACTTGAAATTGTGAAATATTTTTGCATGCATTCTGGCCTGTGAAGCTGTAGTTCATCTGCAGGTATACCAAATTCTAGAATATGGTTTTTTAATCATTTCATTTCAATGGGCCAAAGATTTCCAATTCATATAAGAAGACCGACATTATATCCATCTTAACAATTAATAATTCAATGCTCTCTTTTTGAATATATACTATTAGCGAATAAGAATTTCATCTCCCTCAGAAATCAGAAACCTGACGTGAATCTCACCTTTGCTCGTAAGTAATTAAAATACCATCATTTTATCATACCCTCCAGCTATCAAGGGGATGGCACATCTTCCTGTTGGATTAGAGAAAGATCATAGGCTTTGCGGACAGATGCCTTAAATCAAACGTTAGATATGCTTCTTATTGGTGGTCTGCATCATCAGATATCTCTGTCCTACCTCTCTCTTCTGGGATACTACAGTGAACAGATAAGATTTATTTGAAAAATTTAATCATCATCCACATATTGGTTATTATTTAAACCAAGAACACCCAAGTGAACTTAAATCTTTCAGGACTGACTGATTTAAGTTCAAATTGATGGTGAACCAGTGTGACCTTTTCCCTTTGATTTCAACTCAGTCAAGGTCCAGTTGGTTCAACAGAGAGATTTAGTATGAGCAACTAGTCACAAAGACAGTAAACAGAAAGAAACTGAAACACCATCCTTAGTGGGATCTGTAACACTGGAGAGGAAAGGTGTGTGGCAGGAGATGGGACCAAGGTGCAAATGTAGCTACTGTGAGAAATTCCATCCATGTCGGAGCCAGGGAAATATTTCTGACTTTTCTATTTCTCCTACACACCAATGTTATGTCACCAATCATTGGCATTAGACAGAAACCTGCCTGGCAGTTTGTAATGCTCAGGTTTTTTGTTTGTTTGTTTGTGTTATTGTGTGGTAGAAGTATCAGGGTAGAAACAGGAGTAGATTTGAGCACAAACAAGAAAATGATCATCCCAGATCATAACTATTTACATCTCTCAACTGGCCTTTTCTCAGATAATGATAGGCATTTCCAGAAGGAAAGATATACGTTTACCAAAATAACACCGATAAAATCTCTCCTCTCGATCACAAATTTACCTTGTACCTAATCTATTATCTGGTGAGCACTGTTAGTCCCAACACCAGATTTTTGCTGCAACAGAATGTAACATTTTCAGAAATAAGAACAATGTAAGCAGAACTGATTAAAATAACAGTTATCCCTTCATTTCTCAGTATTCCTTTGTCTTTGGCTTGCAGTGAGGGAGACTGTACCTGAGATCGGTGTCCTCTGTCAGGGAGGACTTGACGTCACAATCTCTAGGTGTGGTCACCAGGCACTCTCAGACAATGGCTATAGACAGTGGTCATACCCAAACAGCTGACTTCATATCAAGAGATTTTCAAATTTATCCTCTTATGCCTACATGCAAAAGTTTGCTTTCTTGTTTCATCTATGAGTGGAAAGAGAGTGGGATTGTATTTATTAGATTCCTGTGGCTGCTGTAGTAAATAATCACAATCTGGGAAGCTTAAAACAGAAGAAATTTGTTCTCTCACAGTTCTGCAAGCCAGATATCTGATACCAAGGTGTCCCAGGCCATACCTCCCCAGCGGTTTGGGTGGACAATTTTCCGTGCCTCTTTCTGCTTCTGGTGGCTGTCAGCATTTCTTGACTTCCTTTCCTTGTGGCCACATCATTCCAGTCACTACCTCTATCTTCCCATTCTCTTCTCTTCTTCTGTCTAAACATTCTCCTATTCCATCTGTCTGTCTGGGAGGGCATTCTCTTATAAAAACAGATCACTGGACTTAGTGTCTATCCGTATAATCCAGGATTATCTCCTCTCAAAATCTTTAACATAATTACATCTGCAAAGGCCCTTTTTCCAAGCAAAGTAACATTCAGAGGTTCCAAGGCTTTGACTTGGATGTGTTGAGGGGAATATTTTTTTCACCCTATCACAGCAAGGGCAGAGTCTTTGCACTGGAATGTAGACTCGCACTCCAGACCTTGCTCTGATATATTTCTCTGTATGAAGATAGGAGGATCAAAAGGAATCTTACCTTCTCTTCTCTTGCTCACCTTTGGCCCATGCAAGTTTGTGAGTATTTTTCATGATAAAGCTTCATTCTTTAATAAGGATTACACATTGTTTGGGAATGAAAGGTAGTGATGCAGAGGAGATGCCCTTTGTGCTACAGCATCTCATTACAACAAATTAGCACAGGACACCTGTTTTTATAGATTATCACCCATACAATAACACACGTTATCAAGTGTGAAGCATGTAGACCTAGAAAAACGACAGGATGAAAAGATACACAATGCACCCTTACACAACCTAAATTCTTCAATGACCTTAAATCCTCCCTTTCCCTTCCTGTTCATCAAGCAATCGTTGTTTCAAGGAGGTAGTCACCACTAATTCCAGACTTACCCTGCTGTGCAAAACCCAGTCAAGAGCTGATTCTACTACTTTACCTTACTTCAGAGTAAAGGGATGTGATTAACTCGCCTATTTGATCTAACCAGTGTATAAGTACTCAGGAGTCATTTTGGATGATAGCTTTTCAGTTCTATACAAATTATAATCTTACTCCAGAAAATGACAGTAATCACAGTAGACAGGAATCAATAAAACATGCCATCATCTGAGTACCTGCTGTCTCTCTATATTTTTTTGAGACAGGGTCTCACTCTATTGCTCAGGCTGGGATATAGTGGTGTGATCTCGGCTCACTGCAACCTCCCCCTCTGGGGCTCAAGTGATCCTCCCATCTCAGCCTCCCAAGTAGCTGGGAATACAGGCCTGTGTGACTACACACAGATAATTTTTGCATATCTCCATAGAGACAGGGTTTTACCATATTGCCCAGGCTGGTCTTAAACTCCTGGGCTCAAGGTATCCTCCTGTAACGGACTCCCAAAGTGCTGGGATTACAGGCATCAGCCACTGCGACCAGCCTACAGTTTATTTCTTGGCTGCATTCTTGGTGCTAATTTCTATAAGAATAGGGCCCTGAGAGATTCCTGAGTCATTCTGAATCTGGGGAATATCTACTGTAAGACTACATAGTTGTGTATATGTATATGCATGAGAATGTGTGTATATACACATGTGAACCCCAAATATCTGAGACAGGTCTCAGTTAATTTAGAAAGTTTATTTTGCTGTTAGTCTAATGGGCTTCCCTTTGTGGCTAACCTGACTTTTCTCTCTGGCTGCCCTTGACATTTTTTCCTTCATTTCAACTTTGGTGAATCTGACAATTATGTGCCTTGGAGTTGCTCTTCTCGAGGAGTATCTTTGTGGCGTTCCGTGTATTTCCTGAATTTGAATGTTGGCCTGCCTTGCCAGGCTGGGGAAGTTCTCCTGGATAATATCCTGAAGAGTGTTTTCCAGCTTGGTTCCATTCTCCCCATTGCTTTCAGGTACACCAATCAGACATAGATTTGGTCTTTTCACATAGTCCCATATTTCTTACAGGCTTTGTCCATTTATTTTTACTCTTTTTTCTCTAAACTTCTCTTCTTGCTTCATTTCATTCATTTGATCTTCAATCACTGATACCCTTTCTTCCGCTTGATCGAATTGGCTACTGAAGCTTAGTGCATGCATCACGTAGTTCGCATGCCATGGTTTTCAGCTCCATCAGGTCATTTAAGGTCTTCTCTAAGCTGTTTATTCTAGTTAGCCATTCATCTAATCCTTTTTCAAGGTTTATAGCTTCTTTGTGATGTGTTTGAACATCCTCCTTTAGCTCAGAGAAGTTTGTTATTACCGAGTGTCTGAAGCATTCTTCTCTCAACTCATCAAAGTCATTCTCCGTCTAGCTTTATTCCGTTGCTGATGAGGAGCTGTGTTGCTTTGGAGGAGAAGAGGTGCTCTGATTTTCAGACAGATCAATGAGACAGAAAGTTAACAAGAATATCCAGGAATTGAACTCAGCTCTGCACCAAGCGGACCTAATAGACATCTACAGAACTCTCCACCCGAAATCAACAGAATATACATTCTTCTCGGCACCACATTGCACTTATTCCAAAATTGACCACATAGTTGGAAGTAAAGCACTCCTCAGAAAATGTAAAAGAACAGAAATTATAACAAACTCTCTCTCAGACCACAGTGCAATCAAACTAGAACTCAGGATTAAGAAACTCACTCAAAACCACTCAACTACATGGAAATTGAACAACCTGCTCCTGAATGACTACTGGGTACATAACGAAATGAAGGCAGAAATAAAGATGTTCTTTGAAACCAATGAGAACAAAGACACAACATACCAGAACCTCTGGAACACATTTAAAGCACTGTGTAGAGGGAAATTTATAGCACTAAATGCCCACAAGAGAAAGCAGGAAAGATCTAAAATTGACACCCTAACATCACAATTAAAAGAACTAGAGAAGCAAGAGCAAACACATTCAAAAGCTAGCAGAAGGCAAGAAATAACTAAGATCAGAGCAGAACTGAAGGAGATAGAGACACAATAAACCCTTCAAAACATCAATTGAATGCAAGAGCTGGTTTTTTGAAAAGATCAACAAAATTGATAGACTGCTAACAAGAATAATGAAAAAGAAAAGAGAGAAGAATCAAATAGATGCAATAAAAAATGATAAAGGGGATATCACCACCGATCCCACAGAAATACACACTACCATCAGAGAATACTATAAACACCTCTACAGAAATAAACTAGAAAATCTAGAAGAAATGGATAAATTCCTGGACACATACACCCCCCCAAGACTAAACCAGGAAGAAGTTGAATCCCTGAATAAACAAATAACAGGCTCTGAAATTGAGGCAATAATTAATAGTCTACCAACCAAAAAAAGTCCAGGACCAGACAGATTCACAGCCGAATTCTACCAGAGGTACAAAGAGGAGCTGGTATCATTCCTTCTGAAACTATTCCAATCGATAGAAAAAGAGGGAATCCTCCCTAACTCATTTTATGAGGCCTGATACCAAAGCCTGGCAGAGACACAACAAAAAAAGAGAATTTTAGACCAATATCCCTGATGAATATCGATGCGAAAATCCTCAATAAAATACTGGCGAACCAAATCCAGCAGCACATCAAAAAGCGCATCCACCACGATCAAGTTGGCTTCATCCCTGGGATGCAAGTCTGGTTCAACATATGCAAATCAATAAACGTAATCCACCATTCAAACAGAACCAAAGACAAAAACCACATGATTATCTCAATAGATGCAGAAAAGGCCTTTGACAAAATTCAACAGCCCTTCATGCTAAAAACTCTCGATAAACTAGGTATTGATGGAACGTATCTCAAAATAATAAGAGCTATTTATGACAAACCCACAGCCAATATCATACTGAATGGGCAAAAACTGGAAGCATTCCCTTTGAAAACTGGCACAAGACGGGGATGCCCTCTCTCACCACTTCTATTCAACATAGTGTTGGAAGTTCTGGCCAGGGCAATAAGGCAGGAGAAAGAAACAAAGGGTATTCAATTAGGAAAAGAGGAAGTCAAATTGTCCCTTTTTGCAGATGACATGATTGTATATTTAGAAAACCTCATCGTCTCAGCCCAAAATCTCCTTAAGCTGATAAGCAACTTCAGCAAAGTCTCAGGATACAAAATCAATGTGCAAAAATCACAAGCATTCTTATACACTAATAAGAGACACACAGAAAGCCAAATCATGAGTGAACTCCCATTCACAATTGCTTCAAAGAGAATAAAATACCTAGGAATCCAACTTACAAAGGATGTGAAGGACCTCTTCAAGGAGAACTACAAACCACTGCTCAATGAAATAAAAGAGGATACAAACAAATGGAAGAACATTCCATGCTCATGAATAGGAAGAATCAGTACCATGAAAATGGCCACACTGCCCAAGGTAATTTATAGATTCGATGCCATCCCCATCAAGCTACCAATGACTTTCTTCTCAGAATTGGAAAAAACCACTTTAAAGTTCATATGGAACCAAAAAAGAGCCCGCATTGCCAAGACAATCCTAAGCCAAAAGAACAAAGCTGGAGGCATCACACTACCAGTCTTCAAATTATACTACAAGGCTACAGTAACCAAAACAGCATGGTACTCGTACCAAAACAGAGATATAGACCAATGGAACATAACAGAGCCCTCAGAAGTAATACCACACATCTACAACCATCTGATCTTTGACAAACCTGATACAAACAGGAAATGGGGAAAGGATTCCCTATTTAATAAATGGTGCTGGGAAAACTGGCTGGCCATATGTAGAAAGCTGAAACTGTACCCCTTCCATACACCTTATAAGAAAATTAATTCAAGATGGATTAAAGACTTAAATGTTAAACCTAAAACCATAAAAACCCTAGAAGAAAACCTAGGCAATACCATTCAGGACATAGGCATGGTCAAGGACTTCATGACTAAAACAGCAAAGCAATGGCAACAAAAGCCAAAATTGACAAATGGAATCTAATTAAACTAAAGAGCTTCTGCACAGCAAAAGAAACTACCATCAGAGTGAACAGGCAGAATGGGAGAAAATTTTTGCAATCTCCCCATCTGACAAAGGGCTAATATCCAGAATCTACAAAGAACTTAAAAAAATTTACAAGAAAAAATCAAACAACTCCATCAAAAAGTGGGCGAAGGATATGAACAGACAATTCTCAAATAAAGACATGTATGCAGCCAACAGACACATGAAAAAATGCTCATCATCACTGGCCATCAGAGAAATGCAAATCAAAACCACAATGAGATACCATCTCACACCTGTTAGAATGGCGATCATTAAAAAGTCAGGAAACAACAGGTGCTGGAGAGGACATGGAGAAATAGGAACACTTTTACACTGTTGGTGGGACTGTAAACTAGTTCAACCATTGTGGAAGATGGTATGGCGATTCCTCAAGATCTAGAACTAGAAATACCCTTTGACCCAGCCATCCCATTATTGGGTATATACCCAAAGGATTATAAATCATGCTGCTATAAAGACACATGCACACGTATGTTTATTGCGGCACTATTCACAATAGCAAAGACTTGGAACCAACCCAAATGTCCACCAATTATAGACTGGATTAAGAAAATGTGGCACATATACACTATGGAATACTATGCAGCCATAAAAAAAGGATGAGTTCATATCCTTTGTAGGGACATGGATGAAGCTGGAAGCCATCATTCTCAGCAAACTATCGCAAGGACAGAAAACCAAACACTGCATGTTCTCACTGATAGGTGGGAATTGAACAATGAGAACACTTGGACACATGGTGGGGAACATCATGCACTGGGGCCTGTCATGGGGTCGGGGGAGTGGGGAGGGATAGCATTAGGAGATATACCTAATGTAAATAACGAGTTAATGGGTGCAGCACACCAACATGGCACATGTATACATATGTAACAAACCTGCACTTTGTGCACATGTACCCTAGAACTTAAAGTATAATTTAAAAAAATTAAAAAAAGGAAGTTTATTTTGCCAAGGTTGAGGAAGTGCACCCATGACACAGCCTCAGGTGGTCCTGACAACATGTCCCCAAGCTGGTTTGAACACATCTTGATTTTACACATTTTAGGAAGACATGAGACATCAATCAGTACGTGTAGGATGAACATTGGTTTGGCCCGGAATGGCGGGACAACTCTAAGCAAAGACAGGACAACTCAAAACACGGAGGAGGCTTCCAGGTCATAGGTAGATAAGACAAAAATAGTTGCATTCTTTTTTTCTGATTAGACTTTCCAAAGAAGGCAATCAGATATACATTTATTTCAGTGAGCACAGGGATAACTGAGTAGAATGGGAGGCCGGTTTGCCCTAAGCAGTTCCCAGATTGACTTTTCCATGTAGATTAGTGATTTTGGGGCCCTAAGAATACTTTCCTTTCTCATACACATACATATAAATATACACAGATGCACATATAGATTTCTGTAATATTTTAGTAGTCACACGTATATCCTTTTATGTAAGTAAGAAGCGTTTATTGATCCTAGCAGTGTGGGAAGCCAAGGCAGGTGAATTGCCTGAGTTCAGGAGATCGAGACTAGCCTGGCCAACATGGCAAAACTCCGTCTCTACTAAAAATACAAAAAATTAGCCAAGCATGGTGGCAGGCGCTAGTAATCCTGGTTACTCGGGTGGCTGAGGCACGAGAATCGCTTGAACCCAGGAGGCGGAGGTTGCAGTGAGGCGAGATTGTGCCATTGCACTCCAGCCTGGGTGACAGAGCAAGACTGTAAAAAAAAAAAGTGTTTGATATAGTTACCTTTTGTAAAAAGTATCATACTCATAGGTGGAAAAGTAAACTCACTTGCTCTAGGGAGGAAGGAGCTAGCCCAATGGAAAGGTTTAAAACTAACCTTCAGCTACAAAGCAATAAGCACTGATGAAACCTTAACAAATAATTTTCATTTCTTCACTAGAGAGACATGGAAATTATTGTCGACATTGTCATTTATAAAATAAGAAAATTGAGAAAGTAACATTTTAAATAGCAGAGCTATGACTTGATCCCAGGGTGTGTACACATGGATCTTGGGGTCAAGTCATAGCTCTGTTGTACTGGTCATTGTGTCATTGGTTCTCCTGATCCTGTAAGTCCCATGTAAATTTTTATTTGCTGTAAGAGCATAAGCAAATAATAACTACACTTTTACTGCTACTTATTTTAAAATAGCACTTTTCTGAAGCATTTGGGCTTCAAAGATTCATTTCCAGATGCAGAGAATAAACAGTACAGGAGCATCCAGAGCAGTTAATTGGGGTACATGAGGAGGATCAATGTAGATTTCTGTTGGCAACAGTGGAATAAAAGCAGTAACAGGGAGCAGTTATTAGATGTTTGCCATATATGGGATACTGTGCCTTGCACGGTGCAGGTGTTATCTCATTTAATTCTTAAAACTATTATTGAGTCACATAATTGTAATTTCCACTGTCATTTCCATCCTATATATGAAGAAACGAAACTTGGTTTTAGCAACTCATCCACCGTCAGACAACTAGCAAGTGGAACAGCCCCAATGGGAGTGGTTTGGTTAAGATGCAATCAACTACCTAGATTGACATTAGAGAGCCAGAGAAAGTGGTCTGGGATGAGAGAGCTTTCAATACCTCAGCAGCATACTCCCATGAGATTAGTAGAAGCTGAGTTATTTGTATGAGTGTTTGGATCTATTGATTCATGAACCATTTATTTTTTAACTAAATTATTTTATATTTTCTGTATTGAATGATGTGAGGAATCAAAAAGTGATCTCCTACTTATAACTATATTGTAAATGGTAGTGACATGAGGATGACTCTTTTTTTATTGCACATTATATCAAAAAATTGTAATCTATTCGACTGCAATTACTTATGCCAGTAATGATTCAAAGCTAACCTATATTCTAAGAAGAAGTTAAATGTGGTATTGCCCACATTACACCTAACTCACTCTGAATGATTTTTCCTAAGTGAAATATACATCCATTGCAAGTGTGTTTATACCTAGGCTGTATGTAACATAGAAAACAGCAGTTTAATAAATAATAATTATATAAAGATTGTCCAGGAATTACTTAAATCAAATTAGAATTGAAAGAAATTAATTTTCTCCACAGTGGTTGTACTAATTTACATTCCCATCATCAGTGTTCAAGGGTTCCATTTCTCCACATCCTTGTCTGCATTTGTTATTGCCTGTCTTTTGGATGAAATCCATTTTATCTGGGTTAAGATGTTCTCATTTATTTGAGGAACCTAAAAAATGAAAACAATTGAACTCATGGAGATAGAGAAGAGAATGATGGTTACCAGAGGCTGAGAAGGATAGTGGTCAGGGGAAAAATGGGGAGAGTTAATGGGTGCAAAAATACAGTTAGGTAGAATGAATATGATCTAGTATTTGATAACATAGCATGGTGACTTTAGCCACCAATAATTTATTGAACATTTTAGAGTAACCAAAAGAGTATAATTAGATTGTTTGTAACACAAAGGATGATTGCTTGAGGTGTTGCTTAGCCCATTTATCCCGTTGTGATTATTACACATGGTATGACTATATCAAAATATCCCACACACCCTATAAATATATACACCTACCACTTTTAAAAAACTTTTATTACAAAATAAGAAGCTATTTTCATTAAAAAGCATAGTTACTATGGGAGATATAATGGAGCAGAAACATTTTATTGTTTAGCTTGAGGCAGACAAATTATAGTCTACTGCCCCTTTTTGTATAGCCTGTGAGTTAAAAATAATTTTAAAATGTTTTAATTGTTGAAATCACAAGAAAAAGAAAATATTTTGAAACACATGAAAATTTTATAAAATTAAAATATTAGTGTCCATAAAAACTATTTTTATTGAATATACCCATACCCATTCACTTTGTATTGCCTGTGGCTGTTTTCATGCTACAGTGGCAGAGTTAAATAATTGTGACAGAGGTCATATGGCCTTCAAATCCTGAAATATTTACTACCTGGCCCTTTACAGAAAAAATTTGCCAATCCCTAATATAGATGATTGAACCAAACAAATAATATTTCTAAATAAAATAAATATATTTATAAATCATAAATTTATAGTCTCTCTCTTTAGACCTCCCACTCTCTGCCCTCTTTCTCTGTTTCAATTTTCTCCATACTTTCAGTGAATCACTAACAAGGAAAAACTTTAAATTCCCGAGGTAGAACTTCAAACCTCTTAAATTTAGCAAGAACAAAACTTTCTGGTTTTTGCTCATAAGCCATTAACTACCAGTTCCTGAAAAGTTGTGATGCTACTCATCATCCTCACAAATCTCGTGGGTTTGCCATCCTGTTTCTGCTCCTGCAAAGTTTATCCTCTGTTCTTCATCTTTTATTCAAAATCTTTATTTTATTTATTTATTTATTTATTTATTTTGAGTTGGAGTCTCACTCTGTCGCCAGGTTGGAGTGCAATGGCGTGATCTCAGCTCACTGCAACCTCCGACTCCGTGGTTCAAGCAATTCTCCTGCCTCAGCCTCCCAAGTAGCTGGGATTACAGGCATGCGCCACCATGCCCAGCTAATTTTTGTATTTTTAGTAGAAACAGAGTTTCACTATGTTGGCCAGGACGGCCTCGGTCTCCTGACATCATGATCCACCCACCCTGGCCTCCCAGCCTCCCAAAGTGCTGGGATTACAGGCGTGAGCCACCGCACCCGGCCCAAATCTCTCTTTTCTATTGAATCATTGTATTTCACTTTAGGCCAAATTGGTATTTCTCCTTCTGTTTTTTAGCACTTTTCCTAGGTGACTTTCTGCCATATATCATCCTTTTCTCTTTTCATTTTGCATTAAAGTTTCTAAATGTTAAGTAATTTTTTTGAAAAATTGTACTGCTCTTTAAGTATATACCCCTAATCTTCACATTACGGTATGTCCTTCCAATAAACAGGGGCCACCCCTCTTATAACTTGATTTCCTTCACTGCTCCTCATAGTGTTTTTAAGTTGTAAGTGCTTGACTTGGTTTTATTTTACCTAGAATATTCTGAAAGTATGCATTTGTTTCACTATTTTACCTAGAACATTCTGAAACAGAAACATAGTGATATATAAAAACGCATATTTAAAAATATTGTTCAGTATATGAACAACATCTATTTCTTTAAGCATATAAATTTCTTAAATTCTTTGTTTTAAATTTATAAAAGAGCAGTGAGACACACACATACAGAAAGAAAGAGCGAGAGAATGGTATTTGAAAGCCATACCAGTAAATAACAGCAAAGTCTCTGGTCTGACATCTGCATTCCAGGCCTAGTCTCTAGACCTCAGCTGAATGAAATGGTAAAATCAGTGCTGTGGCCATCTGTAGCAATTAACTGAACACTAATGTTCTTGCTGCAGCTGATGGTTGAGACCTCTGCAGTACAATAAAGTGCCTGGAAATTCTATTTTCCATTTTGTGGAAAAGGGTAGGAAATATTGATCAAGTCTATAACATAAAAGCTCATTCAATTCAAAGCAATAGAGAGATATCAAGACAACAAATATTTTCATCTAAAGAATAAAGGGGTTGGTGAGGCATCAGATATGCATAATTATAAACAGTTGCTACCTTCTTAATTGGATGACTGGGAAAATCTCTAGCTGTAGGCATCCAACTGGCAGGGTCAAAATGTTCATTGTGTACACTGATGTCTAATGAACAATATTCCCACCCATAGCTCTTGTGCTATGTCTAAAAATGTTACCTTTAGCCTTTCAATAATAAAAGCGAACTGATTTTAATTTATTATGATGATGACAAATGGTAAAGGAACATGTTTGTCATAAATGAAGAAAATAACTTTTTCCCTCAAAACCCATGACAAATTCGAATCAGCTAATTAAGGCACAAAAAAGAGCCATTTTATCGTATTTCCTGAAGCCATAAGTTTCTGAGTTTGTATCTACTAATGTAGTTCCTACAAGAATGCTGACTTTCATTTTTGTTCCAATTGATAGAGAGTTATGTGTTATATATTTGTACAAAGATGTTTTACATAACTCAGTATACAGGGCTGTCAGAATGTTATGTAAGCTGATAAAAATATTCTTTGGAATCACTGAAGCAATAACAGCCAATGGAACAACTGCCTTTGGAAATTGGGCTGAGACTGGTGATCCAGGGAGATCACTGGTATTTTCATGGTCCTGTAGAACTGGTCTTCATTTCCTCTGAAATTATCTGGATACTCCCAGTCAATTTCGCTCAGTCCACTGTGCAGCATGTAGTTTCCTGTGTCAGCCATCCCACATTGTTTTTTTTAATAGAAACTTTCTGTAACAAACTAAGTAGACTTTATCCATCAAAATTCTATCATATAGAAGGGAAAAATGCAACTTTCATAGCAGGATGAAGAAAGCATTTCTTCCAGTGTGCTGCTACATTGCAAGAAAACTAGATTAAGATTTAGCTTGTTTCTCCTATAACACATTACAGCAAAATCAGCAGGGAATTTTTGTCTGCCAGGGTGCAGTTATAGTGACAGATATAGGTACTGCATTCTGGCTTCTTTCTAATTGTTCTGTCATTCAAAATATTTGTCTGAAGACTAAGAAAGAAAAAAAGATGATATTTAAGTATGGGTAAGGCTTATACATAAAGTGAAACATCTCTATCCTCCAGTGTACTGTTTTTTACATTCTTGCCTTTGTGTCTATGAATTTCAATATTGTGTTAAGTACAACTCTGTTGTGCTATAATAACAGAGTCTTTCAAAATACCACAGACTAGAACATGAGTTGAGCCTCCATGTTTTATGATGCTATTTCCCCAGGCAGCCCAGCTTACTGCACCTCATCTCGCCTCAGCGTTAGCAATAGAAGGAAATATTAAGAGTTCCATCATTGCCTGAGAGGTGAAATATATCTTGGAAAGCTTCATAAAGGCAGGAATAGAAATATCATAAAGACTTCATGAGGGAATTAAAAACACATTCCATATTTGTTTTCCAGGTTTAAGACTAAGTGCCTGAGAGTCAGTTCAGATAGTAAGTTTCAACAAAACATTATAATGCAATGGCTTAAAATATAATCTAGGAAGTCATATTTTTTTCTAATCTCAATTTGTAAGGGAAAAAAACTTATAAAATACAAATATAAAAGCACGGGAAGAATAGCCATATCTAAAAATAAATTGTTACAGAAAATTCTTCCTTATTTGGTGCCCTACGAAATAAAATTCTCTTAAACAGCATGTGTACTAAAGCCCTCTGTGAGAGTATGGTTATTAATCTCCTGCATCAATATCTTAAAGTCATTAAAATTAGTACATATTTCTCAATTTCAAGCAAAACTTCAAAGTTACAAAATTACAACAAACTTTCTGCCATACTCTACGTGCTATAAGGGTAAAAATATTTTTGTTTTTGCCACTGATAAAAATGAATAGCCCCAAAACTTACCATATAAAGTAAATGATCAAAGATATTTTAAAATAAATGAAATAATCATTTCAGAAAAAAATGGCAAAATGAATTTTTAGAATTTCTATACTTGCCAACCCATGATCTTTTTTACAGCTAAATAAATAGATTTTGGTAATTTATTTTAAATGATTTTATCGTTGTGTTCCTCCCTACCCACCCCACCAACTAAAACATTTATATGTTGAAGTTCTAACTCCTAGTACCTCAGAATGTGACTTTATTATGAAGGCAGGGATCTTGACAGAAGTAATCAAATTAAAGTGAGTTCATTAGAGTGGGCTTTAATCTGACCGGTATCCTTATAAAAAGGAAAAATCTGGAAGCAGACATACACACAGAGAGAAACCACGTGAAGATGAAGGCAGAGATCAGAATGAAGGTTCTGCAAGCCACGCAATGCCAAGGACTGCCAGCAAACCACCAGAAGCTAGGCAAGAGGCATGGAAGAGATTCTGTCTCCCTCACAGTCCTAAGAAGGAATCAACCCTGCCAACGCCTTAGTTTTGGGCTTCTAGCATCTGGGACTATGAGACGATAAATTTATTTTTAAACCAGTCAGCTCATGGTGCTTTGTTACAGCAGCCTTAGCACACTGATAAATCGGCATAAGGTTTGTTTGCTGCATATTTCTCAGGAAATATGATTATTCATAGCATGTTATAAATATTTCATTTTATTTAATGAGAAAAATTACATTTTATTTTAAAACACTATTATTCTTACCAAAATAAAGGTTATAAGTCAGATTTCTCCGGGATTTAATAGGTTTTTTTTTTTCAAGTCTATAAGGTTTTCCAGTGTTTTTTGAGATTTTTAATGAATAATATAATATTCACAGATTTCAATGCCTATTACTTTAGATAACAAATTTGCAGGTGTTACAGAGAACATGTTTTAAAGACACTTCTAAAATTCCCTGGTTAATTTTTAAAGTCAAGCTATTAGGTAAAAAGCTTACCCTTGGGGTCAATTTTTAAACCATCCTGGGTTCATTTAGCCAAATATACAATAAAAATATTATAAACTGGCAAGAAAAACTAAATATAAAATAAATATAAAAAACAAAAAGTATCTTATATCTATAAAGGACTTTGCAATTAAAAATTGTTTTATAAGTCCTTTAATGATTAAAATAAGTCTGTTGGGCAGTATCTTAGGCATTATTTTTGCCAATTTGACCACATGATAAATTGACTAAGGCCTGGAGAGACTGTTGTGTGGGACAGAGTTTTGAAATAAGGAAGGTAAAAGGCAATACATTGTCCTGTTTTATGGTGATGATTATTATATACTGTTATTATATGTATGTACTACCTGTGTATGGAAATATTCTTGCCAGTACTTTAAATCAAACCCACTCTAAAGTCTTTTAACAGGATTTGGCTGAGGGATGTGTCTTCGACTCTAGCTTTGTTTAAATTTTAGACTATTCAAATTAATTACAAAAGGAAAATGTTTGCTTACTTTGCTCGAAGGTCTTGCGAGCTCAGCACAATAGCCTCAAAACATAAACTCTTTTGCCTTCCTGTCTCTGCTGTTGTGATGTTTCAATCATACTATTTAACCTATTAAAATGTCTTTTTATAAACTATCCGTTTTTCTGTGTGCATGTGTGTGCTCACCCATTCTCAGGAAAACCGCCTACAAACCAGGGGCTATGATTACTAATAACTTAAATGTGAAATCCAGGGCGTGTAACTTCATTTCATTAAAACAAGTTCAAAATAAATAATTGTTCACTTATTAAGTAGAAGTAATCAAATTGCATGTTTCCCAGAATTTTATTCTATAATAGTTAATTATCTTTGCAATTAATATTCTTTAGTCATTAATAAATTTGGAAAATACGTGGGAATCCAATTCAGATGGCCTGTGATAGTTGATGACACAAATGCATTGCTCAAAAACATTTTCCTAAATATTCTTATTTCCATTTGTTATTCTAAATATTTGAAGCCATTGCTCAGACACTTGGGTTTTTAAGTGTTATCATTTAATACTTCAATATAAAACTGCATGTAAACAGTGAGTATAATATTTTTGTATTGTTTTGTATAACATAAACTGTGTCTAATAATAAAAATTTATATTGTTTTTCATCTCAATTAAGATAGAAAGGTAACTCTCCAAGGTAGATCTGAAGCAGAGCATAATTTTTGACCACCTCTAACAATAATTGAATATACTGATAAAAGTGAAAAACTCTAGTATGCCCAGATATAACCCTCTAATCTAATGTTATTTTTCTGTTTAACCAGAAATGTATCAATAACGTATTATGCAGTAGATCATGCTTAGTCACTAATGCAGATGAAACTTGGTTGGCTACACAAAAGCCTGTTCCAATGATAAATCAGTTTATGTGGGCAATCTTGTAGCATTATTATATTAAAATGGCTACTAAACACCCAAGTTTGCTGTATGGTGAACAGTCTGATAAGAAAAATATTCTTTATAGCTCAGGGGATTTTTCATGCTGACCCAGATTAGCATTAGTATTTCTGACTGCAGTGAACTGGTAACCTTGTCTCAGGGAAAATCTCAAAATTGGGGTTTGGCCTGAGAGACCAAGTGGGTCCTTGGTTTTGTTCAGGAAAGAATTCAAGACTGAGCATAAAGCAAAAGCAAGTTTATTGGAAGAAGAATGGAACAAAAAGAAAGCTACTCCACAGGCAGAGCAGAACCCCTGTGCTACTCACTGGTTATATTTGTGTTTATTTCTTGATTATATGCTTAATGAGAAGTAGATTATGCATGAGTTTTCCAGGAAAGGGGTGGGGATCTCCCAAAACCGGGGTTTTCTCCCCATCCAGACTATATGGGGTAACTTCCGGTCATTGCCATGGCATTTGTAAACTGTCCTGGTGCTGGTAGAAGTGTTTTTTAGCATGGTAATGCATTATAATTAGCATATAATGAGCAGTAAATGTAACTAGAAGTCCCGTTCATCACCATGTTGGTTCTAGCTGGTTTTAGCTGGTCTCTTTTACTATCTCCTGTCTTATCAGTGGAGTCTTGTGACCTGTTGTTTATTGTCTCCTGTCTTATCAGCTGGTTCTTTTGGACTGTTGTCTTGGAAACTAGTCCTGCCAAATACCCATCCCAGTTCCTGCTCAGAGATTATATATTCTTTTTTAATTTTAAGGGGTTGTAGAAGAACAAAGTTCTATCCAATGTAACTGCCTCCTGCTGATTTTATAGGTGTAGGCTTTGCCTCCTGTTGGAGCAATAAAAATGTCTGCATGCCTAATCTAAGGGGTCCAAAGAGAGGGTGTCTATTTCCCAGGTCAGAAGATGGGATGGGTTGGAAGCCTTGTGCCAGCATCTTCTTTACATGAAATCATTGTAATCTAGAAGACACAAACTTTACAAGGAGGTTAAATAAGCAAAGGCCAAATATTAGTAATAACAAGATATATATTAAAGGTTCCAGGAAGTGTAGAAACCAACTGACTGAGGTAGAAGTCCTTTTATTGAATTCCATAAGGTCTGGGTATTGGGGATGAGAATTCCATGTAGCCAGGTAATTTGTTTTTCTATATCTTGCTGATATCTTCCTCTATTTGACTTGAGGTTTTTATTAATCATAGTACATACCTCTCCTCATTCCAACAACAGATAGTCCAATACTAATCTTACTCATTAGTACATCTGCTAAGGAATCAAGGGAGTGTCTCAATTTATCTGAACATCCCCCCATTCTATGAGACAACATGTAGAGTGAAGAAGTAAAGTTTTGAAGAGTTGCCTTGTGATAGGCAAATCCTCCCCATGGGGCCAACCAGCTGACAGCAGCCTTAACTCCAGCCAACATAGGAACAGTTGCCCACTTAGCTCTCGGGTGAGTAATGTTAAATAATTGTATATTAGAAGGCTTTGTCTTTGTTATTGTATGTTGACCCCTGAACCAAACATTGTCAATACATTGGTAACCATATGTTTTATGATTTCAAATGAAAGACAAGTTATAGGCTGATTGGATAGGTGTCCCTATAGCTATAGGTATCCATTGAAGGTGTAAACCTCGTATGGGATGAGAGTTGTTAAGAAAGTTGAGTACTTGTGTTATCAAGGGGTGCTTAGATTTAAGCATGAATAGGATAAGAATTTGGCGGAGAAAGTAGTAATTTAAAGCAATGCTATTATCACAGGAAGCAGCTATGGGAGTTGAGAAAGACACAGTGGTCTGTAGAGGGACTAAGATCCTCCAAGGGGAGTAAGAAGAGTTGTAATTGGTGGTATCATGAGGACAAATATGTGTAGGATTTACTTGGTAGGTAGTGCTGAAGCTTGTAGACATTAGGTGGCTGGGAAGGTATGGCCTGAAAGGATGACTCTACCTCTACCAGGATGTAAAAATATATCCAACTTCGACAGAAATTTTGTCCTCTTGCCAGAGTTTTTGGAGTGTCTAGTAAATAACTGGGGTAGAGAATGTTATGTGTAGCAATGTCTAAGAGGGAAAGGAAAAAAATATCGTTGTTAGTAGGGGGAACTGAGAATGACACAACAGCTTTTCAAGTCTTCTAGAGGTTCACAAGTGTAGGTCATTGTGTTTTCTTCTGGTGTGTGCAGGGACTCATAAGAAACAGGTTTAACTCTGGACAGTCGTACCCCTCTAGTGATTCCCTGAAGTTTAAATGTAGTAGGGAGATTGAACAATACTTGATAGGGGATATCAAGCAGGGGATATGGAGCAGCATAGGAGGGGATCACCCAGGATGTCCAGCACAGTTTCTTGGTGCCTGGACATAACATGAGCCAGACACATTCTACATGTGTCCCTCAAGTCAGGATCTTGGTAGAAGGCCATAAAAGCCTGAACATAAGGGACCTCTCCCCATTTTTGTTCTCCTTTACGGAAGTCCAATTGTAAAGTAGTGTTATAGTGCAAAGAACCATTTTCAGGCCAAACTTCCTGGTCTTTCAGTTTGTAATGGACCCAGGGAATATTCGCCTAGAGAGTAAGTTTATTTTTCCTTTGACCATCGCATTTGAATTTATTCCAGTTGCCTAAAAGGCACTCTAGTTATGAGTCCTTCAAAATGGTAGCTGTTGTTCATTTTTGACAAGGAATTTTACTAAACACAGGGATTGTTCCGAGTTTAGTGAGAGCCCAGCTGTTTTCTCTTTCAAATTTCCACCTCCTGTTTTCCTCAATAAAAGTCAGTAAAGCTATTACTACCAATTCCTGCAGAGAGGGCACAGGTATACTTAGCAGAGTGTGATGAAAGTGGATGATGAGATACCAGTGAGCAGAGGAATGATGACTGTGTACACCAGTATACAGAATGTGACAAGAGTTGTTTGAACAAGAACAGTATAGAGGGTGAAGTGAAAATAGGGTGACCAAAATCAGAGTTTTCAGTGCAGATATAGCAGTGAGGACCCAAGGAGCAACTATGGTCTGAATTCCACAAAGAGTGAAGAAAGCGTCTCGGTTATGAGCAAAAGAGGGAAAGTTGGCAGCAATAATAATGACCAGAATGCCAGCAGGCTGAAACTTCCGACAAGAAAGTGGAGGCTCCAGGTCTCCAAGCAGGGTAAATAGATTAAGGTTCCTGCCCATTTTAGAAACCAGAGGTAAAGTTGGAGTTTTAGAGTCGTAAGCATACACCATTGATTAAGAGAATGGTAGTAATAAATTAGAAGCAAATCCTTTTGATACGATTCTTTCCAGTGGCAATCTGCAATGGCAGAGCAAACAGCCGGGTAGTCAGCTGGTTACTGCAGAAAATAGTAACTTCTAACTTCAGAACAGACTGAAAAAAAAGTCCTGAAAATAGTCAGCATAGGGAAAAATATCAAGAACAACACTGACAAACGATGCAGTGTGGTTCCACAGTCTCCAGTAAAAATAAAACAAATTCGGACTTGCTGTCAACACAATCACCCGATACGTATCCAGGGCACCAAATACTGAAAGACCTGGAGCATCCAGGTATCAGCCAACGAAGCTCCCCACATCACATGCTGAAAGCCCTGGAACATCCAGAAGGTGCCCAACAGTGAACACCAAAGGCACAATTGGGGCCACAGAACAATGTGACTCTGACAACCCAGAGTCAGAACAATGGGGGACCTCTGACAAACAAAGAAAGTGTCTTGCCTTACACAGAATAAAAACAGTTGCCCAAATAGGCAAAGATTACAAGTGTGACGACAACCGCAAGCATGCATTTTGTCCCTAAGAGCGGAAAAGTAAAACAGCCAGTTATTGGAAAGAGAAAATGTCCGAGAGGAGGAGCAAGGTAGGTTATAAATGACATGGCTGGCCAGGCATGCTCCCATCTGAAGCACCCAGACAACAGAAGGAGGAACAGTGAACTGACTATGAAGCCAGATACCCTGTTCCCATTGCCTGGTCCACCCAGAAAGGTAAAGAAGGAGAGAAGAGAGTGAAAGAGAAAGGAATATCAGAGCAAAGAGTTTGATGTCAAGGGGGAACGAAGAGGACACTCACCCATCTGTGGTGGCCAAATGGAGCTGATTGTTCTTAATTTGGGGTCTGGGTGAAGGTCTTTCCTCATCTTGCCTCATGTTGGGCACCAAGAGTATGTTGCAGGGCAAACCCCCAAATTGGGGTTCAACCCAGTAGTCTGGGTGGGTCCTTGGCTTCACATAGAAAACAATTCTAGAGAGTGCTGATAGATAAAATTGAAAGCAAGTTTGTTGGAAGAGCAAAGAAACAAAAGGATGATACTCTATAGGCAGAGCCGCCCCTCTGGGCTGCTCGCTGATTATATCTATGATTACTTCTGGATCATATGTTGAATATGGGGTGAATTAGGCATGCGTTTTTCTGGGAAAGCAGCAAGAAGCACCTGGAACCCAGATTTTATCTCTGTCCAGATAATACAGAGTAACTTCTGAATATCACTATGGCATTTGTAAACTGTCATGGGCTGGTGGGAGGTTTTTTTTTTTTAGTATTTTAATGTATTACAATTAGCATTTAATGAGCAATGGCAGTACTATCTTGGTTCTAGCTGGTCTTAGCTGGTTTCTTTTACCTTCTCCTGTCTTACAGCAAGGTCTTGTGGACTGTTGTCTTGGAAACTGATCCTGCCAAATACCTATATCAACCCAATCACCAAAGTCTGCATAAATTTTTAGATTATTGTAGGCTTATTGTGACTTTGTTTCTATTTTATGTGCCACTATATCACACACACACACACACACACACACACACAAACAGAAAGATCTTAGAACTTACTTCTTTCTTTTTTCTCCCTCTTTTCTCTTTTTTCTTCCTGATAGCATTACTAATGCCTCCCATGTAGAGAAAATTGTTTTAAATTTAATATTAGCAAACATGAATAAGCATATCAGAGGTTGGTACATAAAAGAATCTAAAGCAGAAAGTGGAATAACAGAAACAAAAGTGGAAAAAAAAGTCAATCTACATACCAATGATACAGTTTATCTTTTTTTAGTATTAGAGAATGTATTCATAATTCTAAAATTTTTTATTTCAAATTCCTAGTGCTGTCCTAAATAGATAATTTCTTGCAGTTTTAGTGATTACCATCAACTTATCAAGGTAAATGAAGACATATTCTTTACAAAAGAATAATGTTTAATTGGGAGTCCTTTGCTCTGAGATTATTCCCAATTCATTGCAAAGGGAATTTCTTGTCTTTAAAACGTAATACCGCCTTGATTTTTGGCAATATAGTTTCTCTCATCTTAATATTAATGAATTTTAGATCAGCTTTGCACCTGGAATATCAATAAAAAGCATAAAGCCTTTTCAACAAGAAGGCTATGAGAACACTCTGTGGCATATGAAAGGTATCTAAAGACTGTCTAAATATCAAAATATGTCAACTGATAATTTTTTGTAATGTATAAAAAAGGCATTTATAGTCTGCTGTTCTTGTTAATGACACTGCTAATTACAATATTATTTTCTTTCTTTTGAACTGTATAGAGTCTGTATACAAAATGTACTTCACAGATTATAAGCGGCCTTTCAAAATCAAATTAATGTAAGCCAAACACAGTAGAAAAACAAAGATCATGACCTTAAACTCTGAGCTTACAGATGCTACTTCTGATTATTTTCTTATATTCCTTTCTTAGCATGAAGAGTACAATGGCCATATCTATTTGTTACCTTCTGTACCCGAGGCTTAATAAAATGCCTGATTTAGAGTCTGTGCTCAATGAATTTTTCAATTAAAAGTTGTATGAATTGGGTAATATATAATAACGTATGTTTGAATAAATAAATTCATTCTGAATTAGTTTAAAAGCCCCACATTGATTAATCTTGGCTTGATTTAGTGCCTTTAATGTCACTTTATTAACTTTAAAAAATAGAGATTACAACTGAATTCAGTTATAAAATATCAACATTCATAAAATATTTAAAATTGAAAATTAATTGATTCATATTTAAGATGCATTAAATCTTATGATAAAAATGCTATGTATAGCTATTTAATAGATAATAAATTTTAATATGAATAATGAGCTTCTACTTTGTCTTGTCAGTTCATATTGTCTGTAATAAGTTTTTTAAATGTATACCAGTTGCAAATAAAATAAATATGGACAACATGTAAATTAAAAATTTCCTAAAATATTGATATTATTATTCAAGAAACATGGGTTTTGATAATTTTTTAAATTACTGACTGAAGCATAATCTTTTTATTGAATGACAAAGCAAAGTGGGAAGGGCTTATTAATAAAGAAATGCCTGGAGAATACACAAATGGTGTGAATCAATTTCAAGTTTAGTGAGCTGCCTGAGAGACTCTTAGATACACACCAATCTACCAGGAAGAAGGCAGCAAGAGGCATAGACATGGCCAGCCCTTGCAGTTAGTAAATGATAGTCACTAGAAATTTGCAAAAGTTCAAAACTATGTCTTGAAATAGGATGTCTTCAATAGAATTTTAAACAAAAAGTTATATTCTAACATAATCATTCCCAATAAGAATGACTGCTTCTCAGAAAGAAAGCAGGCAGTGGACTCCACGGTTGTGCTTTAATGTAGACTGGGAAGGGAAGGAAGGATGAGATGACCTCTCATAGTTGCCTGTTAAAGTAAAATTCAGCTCAACCCTGAAAAGAAAAAATATATTTTATAGCTTGCATCTTGTTAGCTTAATTAAGTTTCATCTTTATTCCAGATAAGCAACAGAGCTCCTCTCTCTCTTTTTTTCCATCAGTGAGTTTCAGTACTTCCAAGTTCCTATTTTATTGCATATTAAATGTTTGTCAAATGAGGAGCTTGCTCAGGCCTGTTAATTGGTATGGTTTCCCATACACTGTCACATTGACTTGGTCAGAAACCTGGCAAAATAAAGATCTGCTAATTTGTCGTATGGGTCTGTTACAAGTGATTTCACATTGCAAATGTGCACAGAAAACATTAAAAATGCTCTTTATTTTTTTCCTTTTTAAAAAATCTCAGTTTAAAAATCTATTTGTAATAGACACTAGTAGCAAAAGTATAAGACAGTAATTTTACAGTTTTGTCAAAATTGGCAAATAATATTAGCTACACATAGAACATTATAGAAAAGAAATTGTATCATCTATAACAAAATAATTTTAAATAGAATTATAAAAACAAAGATATAATATTTTAAAAATATACCCATCATGTAAGGTAAACTCCAAAGCCATTTATTATATGAAAAGTAAGAAGGGAAATAAAAGCACTCTCAAGAACCCAACAAACAACAATAATAATAATTAGAATAATAAATGTAATAATGCATCTAATCCCCAGCATTTTTCTAAAAAGATATGGCAAAATTAATGCTAATGCAGTAGAATTAAATGTGATCTAACATTTCTTAATTTAATTCTCTCTGGCCAGTGTTTATGGTTTCTCTGGGGCAAAGGTTCCCAAAATTCTGGTCTTCAGTAGCTGGTGAAACAGTCATTGTAGGCATCAATGTGTTTGAAAAATCTAATTTTCAATCAAGATAAAATCTTGATTTAAAACAGAAAAGTGCAACAAAAACAATTATTAGTCACTGACTATGTGACACTGTCCTCCAAATATTATTATTTCATATTTTGTTAATTATGTGTACTAATATGTTAACAATCTCAGAGAAGTAACTTGTTCAAGGTCACACAGAATATAAGTGATATATTTCAACCTATGTCTGCCTGTTTTTAATAATAACAACTCATGTTATTGAGGCTTTACTATATGCCAGGTAGTATTCTAAGAACTTACATAAAGACAGTATATCAATGCAACAGCACAATGAAGTAAGAAATATTATTGCTTGTCTTTTACACATTAAAAAAAAACAACTTGAGGCACAGGATGGTGGTAACTGGCCCACTATTACGCATGTAGTAGTTGATAGAGATACGAAGACAAGCATTCTGGAGAATCATTTCTGAGCCACCTTGCTCTAGAGCCACTCTTTTTTTCTTTTCTTTTTTTCTACAATAGCATTATGAAGTAATTGAAAACAAACTTTTCTGAGATTCAAAGCACTTAATTAGAGGATCATTTGGCAGTGTCATACATAGAGGTACCTATGTGGTATAAATCGAAGGTATCCTGAAAAACACACACTCTGTTTAGATAGAGAGATGATAGATAGATAGGTAGATAGATAGATAGATAGATAGATAGATAGATAGATAGATAAATAGATAAGACTTTTAGTCTTACCTCTTTTTAAGAAGGCTTCAGGGTATAGTAAAAATAATATAGGTTTTGGTGCTTATGTTAAAAAACTTAAAAACATCTTCATTTTTCTCTTCCTGCCATTGCCCTAAGCATAGATTAATTTTGTTTTATAATCTTTTAACACATAAAGCACCCAAATATAAGGAGCTCAAAGATAAGAGAAAAATGAACTAGATTTCAGTTTTATAGTGTATTATTTCATTTCATGATCGACACTTACTTCTCAATCACTCCCCAAATTCTGTGAGTATTATATTCTACATTTTACAAATAATGAAACTATGTATCAAAAAGTTATATAACTTACTAAAGTCATTCACCTGGATAAAATAGATTATTCACCAAAATCTATGCTCTATCCACTATTCGCAAAAGCCTCCTTAAAAGGAGGTGAGACTATCAGCCTGATTCATGTATTGAAAGAGTTCAAACGGATATCTTTCTTTTTCTACTAAGGTGAAATCCTCAAAAATAGTAGGAACTTAGATAATTATGGAGGAAGAAGTCACTAAAAAAAGCATATTACAGATTATAAAGGATACATTCTCTTAATTTTTTAAGATTTCAGCTAAATTAAATTACATTGTCCAATAGTAGTGTTGCTTGGTTGTATTACTATCTTTATGTATTTCTTTATCACTCATTTAAATTTATAAGAGTTTAGTGAAAAATGCAGTGTAGTATTATACTATTTTTACAAATGACTTTCAGAAAGGGTATGCAGTAACTCTCTGAGGTGATAATAATCTATATATGTTGATATTGTATTTGTGTGACATGTGTGTGCGTTCATCAAAAACTGAGTAAATTAATAGTTAAGATTTGTGCATTTCATTGTCTGTGAATTATTACTTCAAAAGAGTAAAAAAATTAAAAAGTTTTAACTATAATTAATAATGTACATAGAAATATTTAAGGAGAAATGTACTTAAGTCTGCAATTTACTTTGCAATTTATTGAATATTATGAATTAAAAGATAGATATAGGAATAGGTAGATGGACAGATTTGTAATAAAACAAGCAATGCCAAATTCTAATGGTAGAAACTAGGCGTATTGGATGATCACTATAAGTTTAACTTGGCAGTATGTTTGAATTTTTTCACAGCAATATGTTGGGCAATGCCATTTCTTAATGTAAGAACGTTTAGCATGAGATTCCTTCACTTAACAACCACCAAATTTTATCTTCAAATATTCTTGAGATTTTTGATCTCTTAGAAAAACTTTCATGCAGCACCTGGGTTTCTTCCTGGTTTTAGTCATGCGAAAAACCCCATTGGTTTCTACTGTTTAAGCACTGTTTCAGTTAGTTGCTGTAGACACAAGGAGAAATAGAACAGATATGGTCTTGTGTCTGCATGGAGCTTGCAATCTAGGGCAAGAGATGGATGCTCATACCAGATGCTATGATAGGTGTAATGCAGAGGGTGGCCTAGTCCACAGCCCTCACCTGGCTGAGGTCTTCAAGAAAGCCTACCTGGAATGAGTATCCTGGTCTGAGAAATGCAGTATGGAGAGCAATGTAAAAGGAACAGATTACATGAATCAAGACCTTTGGGTCTTTAAGAAGCACAGAATATTTGAGGAGGCACTAAAAGAAGTTGGAGTGGCTAGACTGACAAAGCAAGTAAAAGAGACGTGCCAGGTGAGTCTGGCATGCATGAAATGAATGTTATTTAGTTTATACTCTGCCATAGTTGATACTTAAACAGCCTTTAAGAATTCAAAATCCAGAGAGATTCTATAGGATGCTGCAAAAACGGCTTCCTAAATGAGTCTGTGTTGTTCATACCCATTCAACTCCAATTTAATAATTAATTACTTCTTCTGAGCTAAACTGACTCTAGAGTCTCAAGGAAGTGGTCTGGAGGGCCCAAGTAAGACTTTTGAAACTGTGAGGGTCCAGGATGGCTAGCGCTAGTAAAGGATTCTCATCCTTTTTTCTTTCAGTCCTGGATCCTAAAATGAGCCAGGAGACTTGCAGTTGAGAATTCCAGGGTAATGATTCATGACAGACAGACAGAGAGGGAGAAAGAGAGAACATTTTGTATAAGAAGATTTGTAGACGCCAAAGGGAGGGCCTTCACTGGCCTACACACTGCCTCTGGGAAACTAGGAAAAGGTGCTTATTTCCGATGGGTGATTCAAAATAAAATCCCTCCTCTGGGCAGACAGCTTGCTAAGCAGAAAGCGCTCTTTATATAAAAAACTAGGTGCCCCTGTACATAGTCTAATGCTGGTGTTCAGGCTTGGGGAGCAGAGCAAAAGCAAGAATTTGGCCTGTATTTATTTTCCTTCAAAACACAACTGTAAGTTGCAATCTTGCCCTGAATGGAGGAGTAGCTAAGCCTCATGAGTATCCTGGGGTGATCTGGCTACAGGAGAGCTGCAGAGAGCTAAAAAGCCAGCAGATTCTGCCTGAATCTTGAGAGCTAGAGGGTGACAGCCTTTGCATCTGATGCCCTAACAGAGGAATGACAATTTTCAGGTCTGTAGCAGCTGGCCTATAGGGACAGATGCTAGTCCTGCCTTTACTTAGAAGATCCCTTCTGTGTAAATTATCTCAGCTGCTAAACATGATCCTCAATGAAGAAGTCCACATTATGGAAGTAGGAAGACAACATTTCTATAAAAATTGCTCCAAGTGGAATGTAACTGTATGAAAAAACAGTTGATCACTTGAACAAAAAAAAAAAGAATAGCAAGGACATTTGCTCAGTTCCAGCATAAAAAAAAAAACCTTCAAAGAATTGAAAACATTGTTTTGCAATAAAAATATTCTAGAGATGAATTGAAGGAGAGGGTGGGCATTGTCAAAACCTGTGTAAATTGACAAAGCTAAAAAGTAGACAATGGAAGACAGAAAACTTTTATCCAAATAAGTAAGACAAAAATCAATGAAAACACAAAACATAGTAAAAAAGAAAAATGATATACTGATACAATGCTTAATTTATGAAATATATATAAACATTGAAACAATATTATAATAATATTTGCTCAACATTAATTCAAAAAGTATTATAAATGCAATGAAAATAGGCTAAATGGGAACAATGGTAATATTTTAATAACTATTTAACAATCTGACAGCACTAGCAAGTAAAAATAAGCAAGGACATAGGGGAATTAAACAAATAAAATCAACAACTCTATTTAATAAATCTATCATAAAATATATGTTTTTAGGACACTGTGAAAATTTCCTAAATCTTTAAAAACTGTTTTATTTAGCCAAATAACTAATAAAGTTCCAAAACTATAACCTTAGTTCCCCCAAAATTTAGAAAAAGAACTTTAGTGTTAACCACAAACATTCTGACTCTTTGAAAATTAAGAAACATATTTCTAAAATGTCAAAGAATAAATAAAAAACTGAAATCACTCATTATCTAGAAAACAACAAACAGAAAACACTGTCTTATCAGAATGTAAAGACAGCAAAATGTACCATCAAAATGACTATAGCATTAAAGAAGAGATATTAAAGAAAATACTCAAATTAAAAAAAGTTTAAAAACCAAAGAAAGTTATCAGGGGAAATTCAGCCAGATATCAGGCAAAATTCACCCCTGATATTTCATGTAGGTTCTTTTCTATTTTCCTTAAGTGTCGGCTGGTCTGAGAAATAAAGGGACAGAGTACAAAAGAGAGAAATTTTAAAGGTGGGTGTCTTGGGGCAGACATCACATGTTGGCAGGTTCCATGATGCCCCCCAGGCCGCAAAACCAGCAAGTGTTTATTAGTGATTTTCAAAAGGGGAGGGAGTGTACGAATAGGGTGTGGGTCACAGAGATCACATGCTTCACAAGGTAATAGAATATCACAAGGCAAATGGAGCCAGGGCGAGATCACAGGACCACAGGACCGGGGCGAACTTAAAGTTGCTAATGAAGTTTCGGGCACGCATTGTCATTGATAACATCTTATCAAGAGACAGGGTTTGAGAGCAGACAACCAGTCTGACCAAAATTTATTAGGCGGGAATTTCCTCATCCTACTAGCCTGGGAGCACTACAGGAGACTGGGGCTTATTTCATCCCTACAACTACGACCATAAAAGACGGCTGCCCCCGAAGCGGCCATTTCAGAGGCCTACCCTCAGGGATGCATTCTCTTTCTCAGGGATGTTCCTTGCTGAGAAAAAGAATTCAGCGACAATTCTCCCATTTGCCTTTGAAAGAAGAGAAATATGGCTCTGTTTCACCCGGGTCACCGGCAGTCAGAGTTTAAGGTTATCTCTCTTGTTCCCTGAACATTGCTGTTATCCTGTTCTTTTCTCAAGGTGCCCAGATTTCATATTGTTCAAACAAACACACATGCTCTACAAACAATTTGTGCAGTTAACACAACCATCACAGGGTCCTGAGGCTTATGAAGATGACAGGATTAAGAGATTAAAGTAAAGACAGGCGTAGGAAATCACAAGGGTATTGATTGGGGAAGTGATAAGTGTCCATGAAATCTTCACAATTTATGTTCAGAGATTGCAGTAAAAACAGGTGTAAGAAATTATGAAAGTATTAATTTGGGGAACTAATAAATGTCCATGAAATCTTCACAATCCACATTCTTCTGCCATGGCTTCAGCTGGTCCCTCCGTTCGGGGTCCCTGACTTCCCGCAACAGAGAGTAGGAAGAAATAAATAATAAAAAGCAAAACTAAAATTGATAAAACATAAAACTAAAAAGAAGGATTAAATTATTTTTAAGCTGCTTTTTTTGGTTCTTTTTTATTATCCCAAATAAAATCAATTAGTAAGAAAACAAAGAAACCAAGAGAGCAAAAGTGTTCAAAATTGGAAATGGCTAAAGAGACCTGCCAAGAATACATAATACATCAAAAGAACCTAACATTACATCATTCCTTAATAATGCCGTGGACTTATTATGAAACTTTACAATCATGCTACACTTTCTCCATCTACTTAACTATAGGCAATTGATCTGGGGCACCATTTAGGAAACCTGGGTCAAGGAGCAGCCCAAATTTTAGCCTTTCTAGAATTGTCCCCAAATTTTTCCAAGCTTAAAAATCATTTTAACAAACTAAAAATTGCATAATTGTACATGGTCTAAAACTTAATTCTGAAAATAAGTACTTTATCTTTTAATACTTTGAGATATGGTAAGTGCCTTGACTTTTAAAGAGTTGCTACTAATACCGTAATCTGTAGAAAATGCATGAGTTTTTCAAAATGCTATCACAAATATTATCTCATTTCATCTTGACAAAAGCTCTATATCCAGGCAGCAGCCATGAACTGTAATTCCTATTTTACAAAGTTGGGGGTGGGGGGGTGAACTCAGTAGAAACTTAAATCTAGAGATTTTTTTCCACATACCACACTTTATCTCACTTCCTTCTTCCCCTTACTTCATTCATCATTTTAAATAATTCTGTCATTCTTTTTGTTAACCATCCAGGCCTTCACAGGGTATCTCTGCCATTTACAGTATGACCAATAATTAGGCCACATATGTTTTGCCATATGTGCCTGTTATGGGTTATTTCATCCTGTATATGATTGATTTGGAAGGTCTTTCCAAATTCATAATCATTTTTATAACAATGAAAAATATAATTCTTATTTCATGCCTTCCAATAAAAATCTCAACCTCCATTTTAACTTCATCTCTATTCAATTTATATGCTGCTCTCTACACATCTACTAAGACACACACACACGCACACAGAATGAGAAAGAGGAGGTGGAGCAGAGACTGAAATAAATCAGGAAAAGAAGAAAAGAAAGAAGTTAAACCCATCCTAAAGCTTTTTCACAATCTCTCCCGTGGAGTCAAATGACCATCCTGTGTGCTGACCATGTTTTAAAATATCTTAGCAGTAGAACTTTAATTTTCTGTTTATTCGTTGAGCTCCCTAATAGGTTTGTTAAGGGCATACTTACCACTCCCAGCTGTAAGAAGAAGAAGTCACAAAATTTATAGGCTTTTGAAACATTTAACGGGTGTAATGAGGATGGGTTTTCCTAGGATATTGGCTGAGAGGAAACTTTGAGGGGGGTCAAGTTAGAACCAACTAAATACCGATACCAAGTACTGCTGAAGAGCAGGGTCACTGCTTTGAATATGGGCACCCCCATTCTTCATTCTCCCACTTCCTCGTGGAATGTGGTTGGAGGTATTCCTTGGAGTTTGGAAGATGGAAGACAATCCAGTGGACAGCTTGAATGGAATCAGCAAATTTTTTAGATCCCTCCTTCTAGACAATCTGTGAGTTACATGAAGGAAGCTATAGATGGGTTCTCCCACAGAATGACATTAACACAGATTTCAATTCTATATACATACTTATGACCCAGGACTACTTGGGTGGGATCACACACTGACAAATACAGGAATAGCATTGGACAAAAGCTTGGAAGATGAAAAATATCAGATAGGTTTAGAGAGTAAAGAGATTCTAATTGCATAGAAGAAAATACATTTAGTATGGAATCATTTCTGGTAGTTAAGGCAAAAAAACAAACAGATAATGAAAGTCCCCAAATGCTATGAAATAACATTTCAGTGGGGGTGCTGACAAAATTGGAGCCATCCTTTATGAAGATTACTTAAAAAGCAATGTGTATGATAGACTGGGGGAATAAGACAAATTGGAAAGCCAGTTATGAAGTTACTGTCATAAAAAAGCTGAGAGTTAATGAGACCAGAATCTAGGGCAATTGCCTTAAGACTGGAAAGTCAAATATAAGTATGAAAAATGTTCCAGAGATGGACTCCAGTGGCTTTGTAACAACCCCATATAACTATAATCAAACTCCCCTGTATTGTGAAGGAAATCCAGAAGAGGCAGAACTCACTCCACTTCTTATCTGAAGAACTTTGTTGAATAATATTGATTAGAAATCTATCGATATTGGAGAGCTGTCAGAATCAGTTTTGTGTTGTCCAGTGTATAAGTATAGTAAGCACCATGCTCTTATATCTACAAGCACCTGTTAAAGAATTTACCTATTAATTCAATAAATATTTATTAGATTTTGTTAAGTGCTATGCACACTTATACCCTCTGAGGATATAATAGCAGTGAACAAAACAGACATTAATTTGTGCTCTCTTGTAGCTTACCATCTAGGAGATGGTAAACAGATAATATGTTAATGTATAAATTAAATAAAATACACTATATATCAGATAATGATAAGAATTATAGAAAAAAACAAAGCCAGGAAGAGGAATAGTAAGGATCAATGGTATAGAAAGTTGCAATTCTAAATAAAGTGGCCAGGAAGGCCTCGTTGAACTCTATCCTTTAAGCTCCCACTTAAGGAGGGGAGGAATGAACCATATGAGTTCAGGGGACAAGAGAATCCCAAATAAAGGGAATAGCCAGTACAAAGGTCCTGCTGAGACAGAAGTGTCTCTGGTATGTTCAGACAAATGCAGAGAGGTCCACAAGGCTGAAGCAGGGAAGATAGAGAAAATATTAGTAGGAGCTATGGTTAGAGACATCTTGAGTCCAACAAATGGTGTTGTGGGCCATTGTAAGGACTTTGAGTTCAGCTTTACTGCAGTGAAGAAGGGATCTCATTGAAGGGTTTTGAACAGAGGAGCAGCATGATCTGATTGAAGTCCTAAAAGGATGACTTTATCTGTTCTGGATCTTCCACTGTAGAGTACAGAGCAGCAGCAAGGAGACTAGTTAGGAGGCTATTGCAATGATAAGATAATAGAAGGCATTGGCCTGGACCGGGTAGGTAGCAGTCAAGGTGGTCAGAAGTGGTCAAGCTTTGCATCTGTGTTAAATGATAGAAAAAAGAAAATCTACTTAGCCCCAGCTTTCATGAACAAATTTCTGTTTGTTATATAAGTATAAAGATGAATATTTGGGCCTTAAAATTAAACAATAATTTTAAGCCAGACTATTCAGATATTCTATCTCCCCTGGGCCCTGGCCAATGGTTCATAGTCTCCAAATTCATGAAGCTTGCTTCCAAAGCATAGGATAACCTTGGCTAAACTGTATAAATTGATATATGCATGCTAATTAGTAAAACATCTCCCTTATCCAGGAATAATCCACCATTCATGTGAACATTCAAAGATTTCCCAGCTAGTTCATTCTATACCCTTAGAACTCTTCTGTCAATTTTTCACATTTAGTACACGTGCATTTAATTGAATTACGTAAAGAAAATGACAGGCTTTCTGGCATCTAGAGAAATAGTCTCTGTTCTAAAGCTTTTTAAAATGCAAAACTAATTTTTAAATTTAAAATAAAGCTTGCTGATATCATTGATATGAACTACACGTTATGATTTATGAACTGTAGGCAAGCGTACTTAAAGAGACAATCAGGGCTGGACCACTGCTGAAGTGAACAAAGGGAGAGCTTGAGAAAAATGGATATGCATAAAGCTAATTTTAAAGTGAAATATTTATATGCACATATTCTTAAGTAAAATCATAACAATATGTAAATTTTATTGACTCCAGTCATATGCTTTAGTCAAAGGAACAGTTAAGGGACCCACTGGAACTGAATTTAATAGAAAAAGACTTGTAGCAAATTTATTAAATAAAAAGTATTTGTTTGGGTTTTAATTCTAAGCGTTGGGGCAAGCACACTCCACCATGTCTTTCCCTCTGAATGCAGCTATGAAATCTGGGCAGAATGCATGCATTTGCTGTTTGAGAACTCTGAATACCAAATAGTTGCCAGAAAGTCAGGAAAGAATGGCAACTTGAAGCATCAAGGAATCAGTGGTGAGTCTACCAGTTTTATTTTTCTATTACCCCCTGCCTAAGGTCATATTAAGCCAAAACCTGAAGTGAGCACTGAGACACAGAGAGTTCTAGCAGAGGTCCTTTATTCCTAGGTCGAAACAATCCTGTCTATAACAGTAACACCTGCAAGGGACCCCACAGGAACCAAATGTATTAGGGATCAAAATCTTCCTGTCCAATCAATGGTGCTGTGGTCCTAAAAGTGTGAGCTGAATTATCTTCACAATTGTTCCTTGCTATTTTGTTTTGACCCCAGATGTGGGCACAGCCACAGAAGTCTGTGCCAGAGTGAAGTAACGAAAACACCAACTTTCTGGCCAAAGGACTAAAAAGGGAAGCCCAGGGGAACCAGAAAGTACTGCAGAAATTGCAAAGAAGGCTCAGGAAATCAAAGCCATAAAATTATTCATAAAAATCCTGGGCTTCTTTCCCAGAGCTGCACATGTGTGAATCTGATCCTAGTCAGCAAACTAAATAAAGACTTTGAGAAGTGAAGTAACAGAAAACCTTCCAGTCCCATACATATCCATGGGGGATAAACATTCAGGATAGATCCCAATAGCACTGCACAGACTTTAAAATTGAACGGACATTCAAACCATAGCCAAAGTGAAGCAAACTGAGCTATCATTTTTTTTTTCTCAAACAACATACAATCAACCCTTTGCTGTATACTTTGCTTAAATTAAAATGCTTTCTCTTTAGTTTAACAACAGAATATAACAGTTTAGTTGCCCCATAGCAACCAAAGAAATAATTTGGCATGATTTACTCAGTGAATACAGTCTTTCATAGTGTCTATGTCTTATTTATCTGTTAAAATATTTTTCTTCTTTTTAAAAAATAAAATTCACAGTAAAACAATATTAGAAAATGTGCACATTTTGAATAAAGAAAACATTCTCTGTAAGTTTTCTATCAATTTGCTTCTAGTGTTGTTTTGTACATACTTTTATTTATTCTGTTTTTTAAAGTAACTTATGAATAAAGGGTAGTTTGTGAATATTTTCTAGTTAACAATTTTTTGGTAGATACAATGCATGTAGGAGATTGCGTACAGGTTGGTCCTTTTTCAAATGATCATGCAAGGGACTTTTGACAAAATTTTTTTATATTTGTACATATCTCTATCAACAGATTTGAGGTATAATTGAAATGTAATGATTGCGTATGAAGCATAGAATTTTCTAGATTTTGCCACTCTTCAAACCATCATGAAAATCAACACAGTGAATGTATATACCAGCCCCAAAAGTTGTCCCTTTGAATTGACACCCTTCTTCCTATCCCCTTCCCTAGGCAACCAATGATCTGTTTTCTGGCACTATAAATTTAGGTGGCATTTTCTGGGGTGCAGCTAAATCTTAAAATATATTTCTAAACTGCAATTACTGTGAACATATTACCAATGCCAATTAAGTAACAGACATTTTTTAATTGTTTCCAAAGAATCCACATCAACTCACTTCTTCAGCAAGAAGTACACAAAAGTTTGTTTTGGGGCATCTGATATGGTTTGGTTCTGTGTTCTCATCCAGATCTCCCCTTGAATTGTAATCCTCATAAGCCCCATGTGTCAAGGGCAGGACGAGGTGAAGGTAATTAGATCATGGGGGCATTTTCTCCCATGGTGTTCTCCAGATAGTAAGTGAGTTCTCACAAGATCTGACGGTTTTGTAAGCATCTGGCATTTCCCCTGCTGGTACTCATTCTTTCTCCTGCTGCCCTGTGAAGACGTGCCTTCTGCCATGATTGTAAGTTTCCTGAGGGCTCCCCAGCCATGCAGAACTGTGAGTCAATTAAACTTTTCTTTATAAATTACGCAGTCTTGAGTATTTCTTCATAGCAGTGTGAGAACGAACTAATACAGCATTGTTGCCGAAACTGGGTTTCATTAAACTTTTATTTACTAAAAGGAAGAAGAAACAATTATCTTGCTGTTATTTTAACTTGTTTTTATTGAATTATAAATGAAAAGAGATTTTGTTTCATGCTTATTGATAATGTTTATATTTTTGTAAAACTTTCCTATTAATATCATTTCTTTAGTTTTTTATGGGGCTACACTATTTTATTAATAAGAGCACTTTTATTTTGCAAAATTAAGCTCTTTTGTTCTCTACGATCTAACTGCTTTTGTTCTTTTCTTCTGGCAAAATTAAAAGTTTAAACAAAGATATAAATATTTAAAGTCTAGTAGATATGATATTATACCAATTTAGTGAGAACAAAAGTATTCGTTCTATAAGTAACTGAAACATATTCTACAAATAAAATGTATAAACACATAAGTAGGAAAGTTTTATTCAATAACTCTTTGGACTTCCACAAAAATAATGTCCATATGCATTAGAAATTTTTAAAAATGGATGCTAGAATAACATTTGTAAATGTGCTTATAATCATAGAGTAGAAGGTTAATCAGAGAAAAACTCAAAATTCAGAGGTTAAGCGATAAAACATTTGCTTTTGCAAGTATTGACCATTTCTGTCTCCAAAATCTTTTTATACTTTAGTGATCAAAAATTGCATTGTTTATAAATTTGACTTGGTCTTGATCTACACAAATTTTCACACAAACATGCACATATAAGGTTATTTTTCTACAATTTTTAGATTTTATTTATACTGCCGGTATATTTAAATAGGTTCTTAAAGCAATATTAAGTCACAATAACTTATTTTGTGATTAATATTCACAAAATAGTGATGTCTCTCAGTAAGAACAAATTTTATACTTGGAAAAAAAAGTCATAATTTTAACCAAAGCAAAAGATGCTCTCCCAAGTATTTTCGAGAATACTTACAAAGCTCTTTTTACTGCTCTGTAAGACCAATCTTCTTGGGAAGATATTATTTGCCAAATTAAGAGGTGAGAAGGGTCAACTAAGATTCAAGTAGAGAAGAAATATCAGCAAATATAGGTAGTACATTTTAAATATCCTAATAGTAGTTTAAGATGTGATATTTATTAAAATTTTATCTTAAATATATTTGATTAGCAAAAATATATTTAGTTTTAAATTCACATATTAAATTAAAATTTAATCTATTTTCAAAACAACTAAGATTACTAACTGAAATTCCACTTTAAAAAATTATCAGTGTCTGAAACAATTGGATGAAAATAACTCATGAATATTTCAGGATATTCTATTGATCACATATCTATTTTCATTATATATCATATAAATAATATTCAAAGTGAGTTCAACTTGACACATTTGCCATGGAAAATTTAGCCTATACAACTATTTAAAGTCACTTTCAATACTTCTTTAAAATCACCAATATCTTATTTAGTGTGTAATGCTAAGGTCTGTTAAATTCTTTAAATTAGTTTCACAATTAGTATTATAATCTTTGGCACTAGTTTAATTAATGTCAAGACAAACATACTCTGGAAATAATTGAATTGACTATTTTTGGCCATGTTAAGAGGAGAGACTAGGAGATAGTGCTGTTAAAATTGTGGGAGTTAGGAGAGGCTTCATAATGGAAGTGTTAGAGGCACTGTATATTCCAGGAAGGTCATAATGCTTCTGGTTATGAGGAGAAGAAGGGGGCAGTATCCACATGTGGAGTGAGTGGAGGTGAGCCTGGATCACTCACAAGGGTCACAATGAAGGATTCCGATGCCAAACAAACAAAAAAAGTTTAAAATTTTTAACTTCAAACCAATATTTCTCAACCTTTTAAAAATTGTATTCCCTCTAATATTTGTTTTTAGTCAATTTTCTACACATATCTACTAGGCAAAACAAGTTGTATTTTAGTAGTTTGCATTAGAAAAATAATAGATCTATTGAACATGTAAATTTTTTTTTTTTTTTTTGTATTACATACTGCCACCTCCTCCCACCGATTTATTCTTATGGGGGATGAGTCACTTATTTCTGTCTCCCAAAGTTTTAGAATCTCTGCTGCAAGCCTTTGGGAAATATTCATCCATCGAACAAATATTTATTAGGTATTACTATGTATGACACAGCCAAGAATTTTGTACAGAAGGAAGATATGAGCAGATGTGTGATAGATTTGATAGGCATATTTCTCTTGCAGTACTTAATGGAAAGACTAAAGGCGATGAGATTATCAACTGTCACGTAATTTACAGAGGAGAAACAGACAACAGTATGGAAAATACCAGTAATGCAAATATGTCAGATATTGTAGAACAGGCAGCTGTGATCATGGATGCTAACATTCAAAGTTTCAGGCTTGATAGAACAAAACTTTTGTAGCATATGTTTTGGCTCTAAAACTGTCTTGGACCTCCAAGAGAAGACAAGTTTCTGTGTGTCTCCATATGGTACTTTCTGTGTATCTGTGTACCGGGCTGTATACAAGTTGTTGGAAAGCAACCTGAAACCTGGGTACACACAGGAAGAAGGTGTTTAGGATTTTGATTATAGTTTCCAATCAGTACTTATGATTTCAGTAGAGCTGATGTTTAATAATTTGCTTAAAACCCCCCATATCACAGAATAAATTCTAAGCTTATTTGCTGTAACTGAAAATTTATCCTTTTGGATGAATAAAAGGGCTCTTCCCTTTCCCATCCTTCCTTCCTATCCTAGATGATTGCCTCAGTTCTTCCTTTACAGAGCTAAAGCTCAGCAATGATTCCCAAAGAGAGCCTAAAGGGAAGAATGGAGAGGGCTCCACCAGCTGATTGTAGAAAATGCCTTGGGATCATATGAAAGTAGACATCTCCAAATCTTCCACTTACCTAAAGAATCACTTTTCTGAGGATCTCCACGCTTATTCCCTCAGGCTCTATGATATTTAAATATGATATTTAAATTGATATTAAATATGATATTTAAATTTAATTTAAATTAAATTAAATATGATATATTAAATATGATATTTAAATATCTTTTGATATTTAAGGTTTCATTTTGAAACCTTTTAAGTTTCATATAATATTCTGAGATGATGAGAAGTGATAAAAAGTATTGAAGATTTAATGCCCTGTGCCTGCACGTGGTACTTTTTTCACAGCCTAAGAGTTAAATGATAAGAGATATTTACCTGGAAGGAAATTTGGTTTATTTTAGCACTTTCTGTATAAACTCTTTGGAAGGATATTAAATATGGTAATTAAAGTTCATGAAAGTATAAAGCTGGGTATAATTTTTGCTTTATAGTTTTAAACAAGTTTTCCTTTCTATAGTATCTTAAATTGGCTCATCTATATTTTAGATACTTTTATTCACAGAAAAAAAAATGGCACTATATTTTAAAGTATAAATGGAAATCAAATGCACTGGGGCAATATCACAAATGTGTATGATACTTTAAGTTGATATCATATTTTTTAAATTCCCTTAAAATTATATTGTGTTGCCTTAAAATGTATTTCACTGATAAGTTTGATTAATGTAAGACAAAAGGATATATAGAGAAAAATGACTTTCTGCCTGAAATCTTTACCCTAATTTCAGTAATTTTAAAAATATATATACTTATATATAGAAATAGGAACTTTAAAAACCTTCAGAGATGCAATTTAATCTCTCTTAACCTTAGTTTCTCCATATATGAAATGAGAGTGATAACAGTATTACTTTAAAGAGCATAGCTATTATATCTCTTTACATATATTTTAGTAGGATGAAAATGTATAAAGTTGATAGCTGAAAATTAGTGAACTGACTGTAGTTCTAGTATTCTGTCTGACTTTGGAAATCTAGAAATTATAGGAATATGTTCAACTTGATTCATGTACATCATTTGATGTAAATGCCCTTCCCTTTCCAATCATAAAAAGGATATAATTAATATTATTTGATCTTCATCTATAGGAAATACATACATTCTCTTTTGTATAGATTTTTTATACAATTTTGTATAGATTTTGTATAGATTTATATACAAATGTAACCCATTTGTATAGATTTTTTGTAATTTTTAAGATAGATATTTCTAATAGGGACTTTCAAATGACCTCAGACAGTAAGATCACAAAATTTTGAGAATGGTCTGTATTTGTCTTTTTGATCAATACTCACTCGGAAGCATCTAAAGATTTCATGGCTACCATGACAACCATGGGTTTCCTGCATTCAGCTTCTGGTTCTAAGGACTTTATAACTTTCAGTCAGACATAGAAATAACCACTTTATTATATTCCAGTCAGATGTATTAGCACGTTTACACAGACCTAAAATAAATTAAGATACAAGCCAGCATTTTATGAAATGTGAAATGAAATTTCATGCAATTATATTATATTTTTAAAATATGGTAAAACCTTAGGGAATACAAAATATTAATTTTTAAGCTATAATCTTGGATGTCATATGCTAATTTCTTTATAACTAATAAAACTAGTAAGTATGAAAATGTATAATTATTTCCTTCAAATATTTAAATGATTACTAATAAACAAGACTTAAAACTTGTAAAAGAGACATGAAAGTCTAGCTACATTAAAGAAATATTTCAGAAAGTAAACTATAAGCCTTTTCTATTTCATTGCATAGATGAGTAACCTGTGGCATCTGAAGCTATTTTGAGTGGCTTTTATAGTGAGTGTACAAATTATAGCACATAAAAATGTTGAGGCATGCATTCAAAAGCAGCTTCATTCTCTTGTCATCCACATAAAGAGAAAGGGAAAACAGAGTCTTTGTTGGATTCTTGAGCTGGGAGCAGTGTGGAAGGAAAGTGATGAGAGAAAAAAACTAAATTAGGAACAAAACAAAGCTTTGCTGAGCTTTTGAGTCCAGCATCACTGCCCTAAGACTTCTTTTTTCATATGTTGCTGGAATTTGTGAGCTCCTGGATTCTTGAACACCTCCAAATATCTTCCAGCTATGCCTCTTGGAACATTACTCTGAAGGTAAGATGAAAGTGTCAAGGAAAGCTTCTCCCATTTCCAGTTCTCCCACTCTTCTTTTGACAAGCATTAGCCACAACTAAAAGGAAATCAGGTATAATTCTTTGCAAGCTGCATGAATTTCTATTCAGTGGTGATGAGGGAGAAGTGAGGCATCTCATCATTTCAAGCACAATGTGACAGCCACTGCCTGACCAAGTGGTTTCCAGAGCTGCTGCAGTTTGCCTCTCTCACAGGATGGCAGCGAAACTCCAAAAACATGTGAGAGAGCAAGAATTTGGCAACTAAAAAATAGTCTACAAATAAAAAGAATTCTTCATAGTAAAAAAAAGCACATTACCAGTGGAATTCTTAAATATCTATTTTTCAGATGGTATTATCTATAAACCACATAATAAATTCATCTTCTATGGACACCACATATTGAAATAAATGTATGGTATTAGCAACCCTAAACTGGAAATAGCTGAGTAATAATGATTTAAATGTTGGACAAAATATTGAATATGTGTCCTTGATTAGTTGGAATGAAGAAGAGAGTGAAATATCTGAGGAGATCTTATGATGTTTTAGAAACGCAGCTAGCCCCAATTCCATTCACAAGTAGATGAAAGCAGCACACTCTCTTTTTGGGATAGCTTTTAGCAATATCAAGTTCTAACTATAATAATACTTTTTTAACTGATGGAAGTGCCATTTCTCCCCTGACCAGAAGACAATTCTCTGAGTTCTATGAAAATCTTATTTTACCCAGAGGAGTATTTTCTGCTCTTGCCCTCAGTTAGTGTGTGCCAGCCACATACTAAAGTGGCTGAATTTAGTTAGGGCCTCTTACTGTCCTGTATTTCCCACTCAGTCCTTCTTTTAGGTTGGCTTCTTTACGCCTGTGGGAGAAAACAAAATAGACACTTGAATATGAGAGTTCTAGTCCTGTATAAATAATACGGTAAGGCCTTCAGATAATTAGATTTCTAGGCTAAAAAGAAAAATTAGTGATTCAATAACAAAACCATGTTTCTTATATCTAGACTGTTTATATTGAGACATTCACCAGACTAAATTAGCTTTATTTCTTTTTTCATATTATGTTTATCTCAGAACTGAAAACAATTTTGATAGCTAAATCGGTGTTTCAAGATATATAAAAAAGATACCTCATCATATATCAGAGAATCTTATTCTCCCTGGTTCAGGAGCTTTTCTTCATCTATTTGTGAAATAATTATAATTTATATCCCATCTACAAGCAACTACTTCCAAACAAAATAAGCTGTCAGCACATTAACCAACTTGCTTTTATATTCTGTATTTCAACATATTGTGATTCAAGTCCCTAGACTGAGGCAGGAGAGAATCTGAATGATTGTAAACTGTGTGCATGTATGTGTTTTATGTATTCAGTGACAATCTTCCAAGAGGAAAATATAGCAGAATGCAAAAGTATTAAAACTTTGGCTAATAAGAGGAATGAAAAATCAAATAAAATATAAAAAATAGGAAAGTCATGAAGAGGTTAGGTATCCCCAAGGAAGAAAAAAAAATTTCATTTTCCACTACTGTCAACCAAAGAGTACCCAAGTAACATGTACGGTCATTAATTTATTTAGAAATTCTTTTTAAAAAATAAATATTTAACTCTTATTATTGAAGACTTCCCACCATGGCCCTCTCCTAAACACCCACTCTGTTTCTTCAGAATTTATAACTTTCCTAATGTAAATAAGGAGACATGGAAGAAAAGATTAATCTTGTTTTCATAGCCTAGGTAGACTTGACTACAGCATGGTGTAAACCACTGTCCTAGGTGTGAGCAATACCGGAAGCTCATTTCAGGAAAATAAGGATTCATTAAATTTTGTGTATCCTATATCTCTTTCTACAAAATCTTTTCAACTACTTCCTATTTCACCTTTCTCCCATAGCAAAATGTAAGCAATAGGATCGGGCAATTATTAAGAAAGATGGCATGCTTCCTCTGGTTCAGTCCTCAAGGATCTCATCCGGTAATGCAGTGGGTTTTGCTATGGGGACTGACCACATAGCATTTGCACTGACTACATGGCATTTGTAATCCCTCTTCTGAACCATGATGCTGTTGATGACATCTTGGTGCAAAGATCGTTCAGCTAAAGTTCACACCTCAGTGACAACATAGGCACAGGATTTAATAAAGCTTACTAGAAAAAATGAGAAAGGTAAAGAAATTCAACTGTAGTTACCTCTTCAAATGCCCAACTCTTTAATAGCAATCATTTTTGGCTTGACTATTTTGAAACAATATATTTTGACATTGCCATTTTGATTCAGTCATTTTAATATGGAGTGAAAAAAAAACCTTGTTAAGGCATTAGATTTAAATCTCATTTCTTTTTACTAAAATATATCCACTACAGACATGTCTAGCCCAGACCTCAATTACCAAAGTATTATACTTTATATCTTATTTAAACATTTGCATAATTAGATGCTACCTCTAGAATACAAAATAAAGATATATGTTAATATGAGATATACATTATTCTTTAAGGGGATATCAGGTTTATCTCCCAAATTTTCCATTTAATAATATTATATGTAATTTGTATACAGAGAACTATTTATTAGAAATAAAATGAAAAACTGGACTTCCTAAGCCATTTGAAATGATAATAAGTGATCTTGTTGTGTTCAAATACCATCTTTCTCCAGGTCTTATAGTTGATGCAAATAAATAAGAAAGTTTGAAATAAAGCAATCACAGATGCAGGTGAGTCCTGAGAGAATGAGCACATACTTATTTTAACAATTGATGGGCATTGTGATATGTGAAAAGAGGTTAAGTATTGATTCCTAGATACATGATGTTTCATCTGGATTGGGATTAATCCCCTTTCTGTAACCCTTGCCTAAACTTTACTCTAGCACTAACACCTGCTTTTTGCACAGAACCTACCTTCTCTCCTGTCCTCATTGTACGGTGAGGTTAGCTCAATGATAAGGTGAGGCCAATAATGATAATACAAGCTGAAAAATTAAGTTTTCCTAAGCCATGTCAAAAACAACATTATGTGAAAATTGCACATCACAGTGCTATGTCAAAAAGCTCCTGGCATTAAATGCTTTTGTTAAAAAAGTTGCAAATGTCAAAGGGTTTCATCAAAATGTCATGTCATCTTGACCTTAAACTCTTCATAACCCAATCACAAAAGAAGACCAAGACTTCTTAGATGAATGAGAATGATCTCAGTGAATGGAACTAGACAAGAATACAGTGTGTGGATATTATGGGGAAAAGGGGGTAATAAGAATGAAAAAAATAATAGTAAGTTAAACAATTCCACAATCACTTTTTTATTCTTAAATCTATAAAGGACTGACCATGAAGGTAGTTAAATATTCCTTTTATCAAAACTTCTGTATAAGCCTTTACAAAAAGTAGCATGAGTCACTTGACAGAATGGTAAGGTTTTTTTCCAACCATCTCAAAATATAGCTTCCTCCCAAAGTGGCAATTGAAATGTATATCAAGCATAGAAGTAAATTGCTTAGTAAGGATGAAATGTAATACAATTTTCTGCTAAAGACCAAATCCCATTTTAAGAAAATCTTAATAGTCACAGGGATAATTTATTTTTTTCAATAATACTGTATTTTGCAAGTGGAAGTAGGGATAACCAAGGGCATCATTTTTCTGTCAGAAACAAGATGTGTTAGAACAGCTAACAGAACTTTTTCACTGATAATTTATATATCTCACAAATGAAGACAATTCTGATTTCTGACAAAATTTTATTGTATTTTTATTTCAACCTCCCCTAGAATGTCTTATTACATATATTATGGGAAGACTAAAATATTGGTCTGAGAAGTAAGACACTTATAGGACTTTGGGAGAGGGACCATGAGGTTTTGGTGAAGTCACTACTCTAGAGACGTGGAGTAGTCTCTATAGTATAGTTCCTTTGCTTGAGGAGCATTCCCAAAAGTCTTTACTAATATATTTAACAAAAACATGAGGTCTCCTTGGCAATATGTGCATACAATCCAATAATGTGCATAAGATGCCCCGCTGATCTTTTTTCATAGTAAAACAGTTTTCTGTCTGCCCCTGAAAAACCCACTCCAGATTCCAGCATGAGTCGGGTCCTTGTCTTTCCTTCCTTCAATGGCATCTAAGTTACAAATGAATAGTAAAGCACTTCTTTGACTCTAAAACAATGAAAAAAAAATAAGTTTTAAGATAAATATTGATTTTTAAATCAGCAGGATAACAAATAATAGTTTAATAACCAAGGAAATTAATAGTTATTCTTGCCAACTAAAACTAGACTGTTGAAGACTAGTACTTTGTCTTATTCACCTTTGTATTTTCATCAATTTTCTTTATCCCTGATGCTGCAGGAACTTAAGAAATTCAAAAAATAAGCAAATTGAAATGCTTTTATTCATCCTAGCACTGACACTGAGACAATACTGTGTGTATGGTTCAAGAGACACATACTACATTCTATATTCTACGATTGTTACAATCCTTGTATGTGTGGTGAAATATGATAAATCACTCTGGTGCCCAATTAATTAGCATATACTATTTACATAGTTCATACTGTAAGTGCATATTATGTCAGCCTGAACAGCTTTAATGTGTTATCTAAAAAACTTTTTCATTTCTGAATGACATTAGCTATTTCTATAGAAATGCACATAACATGAGTTATATCAAAATCATCTAAAATTTTTCACTTTAACTTGACTCAGTGTATTTCACTCTCTTAAAAATAGGAATGCATGTGCAATATTGATGTGGATAACTTATATAATTATGTGGGGAAAAATGAATCAATGTTAATTAGTGAAAAAAGTAGATATGAAATCATGAGAATATATTACAGGTTACTGAGACCTTGTGAAGAAACAAATAAAATAACAGTGCAGGCACTGCAGAGATTGTACATCATTTTAACAAGGTGAGATGAAAATGCAGCAGCGGTTTTGTTAAGCATTATTTAGGTTTCAGATGATGTGATGCTGCCACTCCTGGTTGCCATGGCAATAGGATTCCCACCATATAATGCTTTTATTATGAAAAAAAAACACATGGAAATTAAATAAGCAGTATTTAGAGATAAGAGTATTTAGTGATAATCTACCCCTAACATGGGGGAAAATCTAGAGAGAAGTCTGAGTTGAACTGAACCACAGAAAAAGAATGAGGATAAGAAGGTATTAATTTGAATTATTTATAAAAGGGTTAAGGGGCTAGGTTCAGCTTATATGCCAAAGAGTCTCCTGGTATGGCACAATTTGTTGTTTTTCTCAGTCACAGTTATCAAGGTCAGTGTGGATAACTAATTATATAGCTGTATGTTCATCATGTATAGCCAGTTCTACCCACTGACACTAATGGTTAGAAGGAAACTGAGAGGGGTAGATCACAAAAATATAATGTCCTTATGATCTGTACCAATTAGTGTGGTATCAGAGCAACATTATCAGACTCTTGCTAAAATTGCTCTCCTACACCTCATTATCACCCAGAAGAGTTATGTACAGCAGAGGGATTTGGGGGTGGGGTGGGTCAAAGGCAATCAGTTTCAAGGATTTGTGCAAAATTAACATATTTTGAGCAAAATTAGAATATATATATGCTATTTTCACTTAATGTTTAGATTCACCATGGAACTAAATATATTTGGAGACACTATTAAGTTATGATTTTTTATTCTAGGTATTTGGATTATTCATAGTAAGGTATAGTGTATTATTTTGAAGTAAGATGTGCAACTCATATTCATTATGTGTCATACAATGACTAAAAAGCATTATAAGTAAGGCACTTCAAGAGATGAAAAGCTGTAGTTGAGAAGCGCTATGCATATTTCACAAACCAAGTGAAATAAGCATGAGCTTTGAATTCATAAATCTTACTTGTGTCATTGCTTTACCCTTTATTTGTTGAAATTGCTTCTTACTATTTTATCCATGCAAAACGTCATCATTGCCTTTTCACTATTCATTTTAATAAAAATGAATGATTTGTTATCATGAAACTTTACATTTTGAAAATAATTTTGTGAGTTTCTTGCCAGCCGAGTTTTTTGCCAACAATATGCTCTAAAAGTAAAAGGAAAGATAAATAAGTAAATCCTTATAGAAAATTCTGATGCACCTCAGAACAGATCCATTGATGAAGAGAGATTACAAGATTCTTGCCAGCCTTCCTGCCCATCATATGGTACATTTTGCTTTTTTTCCCCTGAGTGGATGTTCACAAGTTAGGAGAGGAAGAAGTAGAAGCATGTTTAACAGGATCCAAGAATCAATAGTGTTTCAACATCCATTTTTTATAAAGTAACTAAAGGAAACTCCTGTGTGTGTGTGTGTGTGTGCGTATGTGTGTGTGTGTTGTAGTAGTAGTAGTAGTAGTAAAGCGAGAACTCACTGATTCCCAAAAATATCTCAATAGATCCTCAGATATCTAAAGATCCCAGTTTGAGAAGCAAAACATTAAATCCTAATGCCATTTTAGTAGTTCTTTAGCCCCAATACAGAAGCAAGAAAGATAATCACAAATACAGCTATAAAATCAGTTAACAGAACTCACTTGCAAAGTGCTCATCTTGAGGATTCAGAATGCTTCCAATGTCCTTTTATATTGCTGTAAAAGTAAAAACAAAAATAAATAAGTAAATCCTTATAGAAAATCCTTTAGCACCTCAGAACAGATCCACTGATGAAGATTACAAAATCTTAAGCTAAGCTTTTATTTTATTACTTCATATTAACCTATGATATGTCATTTTACTTAAATCTAACAAGTCAAAATCAGCATGAAAAGTCAAGCTACAGGATGCAGATTTCCCCCCCAAGTAGCATCATTAATAAGATCCAAAATATGGCAAAGGTATTTGCTCTCAATTTCGACTCTCTTGTTGGAATTCCTTTATCCAAATGAAAGGGGGAGGATGGGAACTTGTATAATAAAAACTAATGTTTTTAAAATTAACCAACACTCTATCAAAGTGTAGCAGCATGTAGAATTATTTATTTTGTGATAGTATGTTCTAGATATATCTTTGAATTTTTTTTTTTTTTTTTTTTTTTTTTTTTTGAGACGAGAGTCTCGCTCTGTCGCCCAGGCTGGAGTGCAGTGGCGTGATCTCGGCTCACTGCAAACTCCACCTCCCCGGGTTCATGCCATTCTCCTGCCTCAGCCTCCCGAGTAGCTCGGAATATTGCGCCTGCCACCATGCCCAGCTAATTTTTTGTATTTTTAGTAGAGATGAGGTTTCACTGTGTTAGCCAGGATGGTCTCGATGGTCTCGATCTCCTGACCTCTTGATCCACCCGCCTCGGCCTCCCACAGTGCTGGGATTACAGGCGTGAGCCACCACGCCCAGCCTGAATTTTGTTATTTAATCACAGCTGTAAGTAGGCTGAAAATCCAAATTTATCAGGAAATTCTGACATGTCTACAAATTTTATGCCTCTTAACTAAACTTTGTTTCTGTTATCTCATTAAAATTATTTTTATATTATGAAGAGAAAAAAAATCACTAGTCTGAAGAAAATATCGATCTATCTTAGTCATAAATTTACATATCAAGTCTAACCTAACAAAAATGCTTGTTATTTTGTTTTTACACATCCCCTAGAGATAGGACAACTACAAAATCATGCTGTAAAAATGTCTGTTTTTGTACAGAATTATAAATAGTGCAATGAGAGTACCAAATAAGGTCTGTAACTCTGCCCCACCACCCACTGCAAGAGCTAAGCTCTTTCCTAGGTTGCTTTAGAATTCAAAAACTGAGTTGATAGCAGAAATGAATAATCCAAACTTGCACAGTTACATTTTTGGTCTTTTTAATCATATGTCTTAGATTCTGATTGACCCCCTGTGACCTCACTGCTAAAATTAAAAAGTTACATTTTTTTCTTTCCCCAGTTATTAACATTTTTAAAAAAGTTTTCTTTATTGTTGTAATCCTGACAACCTGTCGGGGTTAGAAGAGCTCTTTTTCTAACGTGGGTAATTATGTTGGCTTCCCTGAACCCATTCTTATTTGTAAGCTGAAGGTTGAACATTGTCTCTAGTCTCCCCTTATTTTTAAAGCCTTCGTGTCCATCACATGTCCTGAACAATACTACAAAATAATTTTGTTCCTTAATAATATAATCTAAAAAACACACCTAAAATAATGGACCTTTCAATGCCGATGAAAAAAGTTATGCTCTGTTTTATCAGAATTTTATGACTTCTGCCCATGTAAACTCATTTACTATGTTATGGCCAAGTCACACTTTAAACTGTCATGAGAATACACTTATATGTGTTTGCGCATATGTGTATAAGTGAAGTCCATAAGTATAAAGGTATGTGTATATATTCATATATATGAAGTATATTATTGGTTTTACTACATATTTATACCAGTGTGAGTTATTATTATTATTCCTTTGTTACAGATAAGAAAACTGACACTCACAGTAATTGATATTTTTTCTAAAGTCATATAAATAGTAAATGGCAGAGTAAAGACTGAAACTCATTTGGAGCGACTACAAACCTGACACTATTTCTACAATAATGATTTCCTCTTTTCAACACAATCCTGTAAGAATTTCTTTTAATTTTCCCTTCTTTTAATCTATCTGATCATGTTATTTTCTAATATGAGGGTTCTGGTCCAAGAACTAATTACTCATTTTTTATTTTATTATTTTTTAGACGGAGTCTCACTCTGTTGCCCAGGCTAGAGTACAGTGGCATGATCTTGGCTCACTACAACCTCTGCCTTGTGGCTCAAGCGATTCTCCTGCCTCAGACTCCTGAGTAGCTGGGATTAGAGGCATGCACCACCATGTCCAGCTAATTTTTGTATTTTTAGTAGAGACGGGGTTTTACCATATTAGCTAGGCTGGTCTCGAACTCCTGACGTCGAGATCAATCCACCTCGGCCTCCCAAAGTGCTGGGATTACAGACACGAGCCACCATGTCTGGCCTACTTATTTCTTTAATAATCATCTTTTAAGGTCAATTAACCCCACGTTACTTCTGTAGTTTATATAGCTGCAGTAAAAATTGTCTTAATGTCATTGTCTGCTAATTCTGACATCTGTACTTGTTTGGGGTGGGTGTCAAGTGATTCATTATTTTTCTCACTATAAGTTATATTTTCCTGCTTTTTTGTGTTCCTGGTGATATGGTTTGGCTCTATGTCACCACACAAATCTCATCTCAAATTGTAATCCCCGTATATCAGAGGAGGGATTAGGTGGGAGGTGATTGGACCATGGAGGCAGTTTCCCCCATGCTGTTCTCAGGATAGTGATGGAGTTCTCATGAGAGCTGATGCTTTTAAAGTGTGGCACTTGCTCCTTCTCACACACACTGTCTCCTGCCCCCTGTGAAGAAGTTGCCTGCTTCCCCTTCCACCATTATTGTAAGTTTCCTGATGCCTCCCCAGCCATGTGGAACTGTGAATCAATTAAATCTCATTTGTTTATAAATTATCCAGTCTTGGGTAGTATCTTTATAGCAGTGTGAGAACAGACTAATACACCTGTTAGTCTTTGATTGATACCAGCAATTGGGAGTTTTATATTTGAAGTGCTGGATATTTTTGTATTCTTGTAAATATTATTGAAATTTATTCTAGCATGTAGTTATTTGGAGCACACCTTGATCCTTTTAGGTCTTGCTTTTGTGATATGTTAGGTGGATTTCATATGGTCCCTAGTCTAAAGCTTAATATTCCCAGCTCTTCAAGTAATGTTCTCTCCAATTACCTGAAATGGTTATTTCTCTGCCCTCAAGAAGGAAACAGTGCTTGTATCTGTTAACCATGCTGGAAACTTCATAATTTGACAGTCATTTGGTAGAGTTCTCAGAAGGCAGTTTCCCAATATTGAGAGATAATAAGCTGTAGACTAAGTACTGCTCTGAACAAACCTTCCTTCCATTAGTCAGCTTTAAAAAGTTCACTTTCCCTTTTTCATTCTAATTCAGCATTTAAATCTAAATTTTACATTAACCTCACCTTCTTCCTGGAAACTTTCCTTCTTGTTCCTCATGAAACTTCAGCATCCTTATTTGTAAAATTAGGAAAATAATAATCAACCACACAGAGTTGCTGTAAGAAAAAAGTGAGGCCAAAATGGAACTGCTCTGCCTTCTTGTTTCAGCTGATGTGTTATAAACAAGCACATCAGCTAAAACTTTTTCTGGTTTGTGTGTGTATGCATGCTTTCTGTTGCTGATTTCGCTGTATAAACTGGCCCCCAAGCATAGTGCTAAAGAATTGTTTAGTGTTCCTGATATGGTTTGGCTGTGTCCCTATCCATATCTTATCTTGAATTCCCACGTGTTGTGCGAGAAATCCAGTGGGACGTAATTTAATCACGGGGTCAAGTCTTTCCTGTGTTATTCTCATCATAATGAATAAGTCTCGTGAGATCTAATGGTTTTAAATAGAGAAGTTCCCCTGGACAAGCTCTCTTTCTCTTTTTGCCTGCTGTCATCCACGTAACATGTGACTTGCTCCTCCTTGCCTTCCACCATAATTGTGAGGCTTTCCCAACCACATGGAATTGTAACTCCAATTAAACCTCTTTTTTTTTTTTTAAACTGTTCAGCCTCTAGTATGTCTTTATCAGCAGCATGAAACGGACTAATACAGTTCCTAAGGACAAGAAAGCTGTAATGTGCCCTATTGACAAAATATATGTATTAGATAGATTTCATTTAGGGATGATTTAAGTGCTGTTAACTCTAAGCCAATGTTAATGAATCAACAATATACAGTAAATAAGACATCAAGCAGAAACACACATAACAAAGGTTATGTGTTGATTGGTTGATGAAAATATGACTACAGGTTTGCAGGAACCTAACCCTGTATTTCTTCTAGGAGCAAAGGGTCAATGTTTCCTAATTCAGTGTTTATAGCTACTTTATAGAACATAACTACCACAAATAATGAGAATTGGCTATAGCTAATGTTGTATCTTTCCATTGCTAATAAAATGTATAAAACTAATTTTAAATGTTCTCAGTAAAACACAAGAACTTGATATACAAAGAATTATATAAATCACTCTACTTTAAGTGTGTCTTGGTAATTTAGAAAATTTCTTTAAAATGTTGAATATGTCTCTTCTTTCATAGAGAAATGAATTATTGATTTGACTCTTTATATTTGGGACTTTAAAAGTAGCACATAGTTTATCATCTTTCAGATGAGTTGTAATTTTAACGGAACTAAACTAAAAGCAGAGAATTGCATTTTTGTTTATTCTGAAAATATTTCACAACTGTCTACTGCATTAATATTCTTTGGCACAAAACACCCAATCAAAAAAGATTTATACATATATGTGTGTGTGTATATATATATACACACACACATATATATGTGTATATACATATATATGTATATATACACACACACATATGTGTGTATATACATATATATGTGTATATATACACACACATATGTGTGTATATACATATATATGTGTATATACACACACATGTGTGTATATACATATATATGTATATACACACATATATATGTGATATATACACATATATATCACATATATATGTGTATACATATATGTGTGTGTATATACACATATATGTGTATATATATACATACATATGTGTATATATATGTGTGTACATATATATGTATGTATGTGTGTGTGTGTGTATATATATATACTTTTTTTTTTTTTTTGAGACAGAGTCTCGCTCTGTCACCCAGGCTGGATTGCAGTGGCGCGATCTTGGCCCACTGAAAGCTCTGCTTCCCGGGTTCATGCCATACTTCTGCCTCAGCCTCTTGAGTAGCTGGGACTACAGGCACCCGCCACCATGCCCGGCTAATTTTTTTGTATTTTTAGTAGAGACGGGGTTTCACCATGTTAGCCAGGATGGTCTCCATCTCCTGACCTCCTGATCTGCCTGCCTCGGCCTCCCAAAGTGCTGGGATTACAGGCATGAGCCACCGCACCCAGCCAAAAAAGATTATTTTTAAGGATAAAAATAAGGCAAAAGAATAACTATTTTTTAAATAGAGAAAATTTCTGATTCCATTAATATTAATGAGTTTGTTTTATATTATTTCAAATAATACAGATAGAGACTAAAGTAGTTTTTTCCAACAGTTTTAAATCCTTACTTATATAATTTTCTTTTAACTACTAGACTAAGTTTACCAAAGTAGCCTCATAGGTAAAACTCAGAATATGGTAATCATTAAAGAAAAGTATTTTGAATTTCACGTTCTTTATTTGGGGTGATTCATTTAACCTACTTGTGAATGTGTGTGTGTGTGTGTGTGTGTGTGTGGTGTTAAATGATATGATGCACAAGAAATATAAATTGTTGCATACACTGCCTGGCAAATTCATTCAGCTAAAAATAATCTCTGAAATCCAGTTTAGGAACCAGGAATACACAGATGTATTAGACATGGTCTAAGTCCTTAAGAGATTTACAGTTGACTGCAAGAAAAAAAGAATTATAAGCATATAAATATAACACAATGAGATGTTTTTAATGATAATGACATTACAGAAACAGAGATGATTAGTATATCTAAAATGCACTTTAGGTGTACTCAACCTAAGGAATGAGTACACCTAAAGTGCATTTTAAAAAAGAGTAAGATAACAGCTATATTCATAGTTGCAAAACACTGTTGACAACCAAAGTGTCCTAAAAGGTGAATGGATAAAATGAACTGTGGTTCATTTATACAATGGAATGTTATTTATAATAAAAATAAATGAGCTATAAAGCAATGAAAAGACAGAGAACCCTTAAGTCAATATTGCTAAGTGCACTAAGCCAGTGTGAAAAGTTACATACTGTATGATTTCAATTATATAACATTCTGGGAAAGGCAAAACTATATACACAATTCAAAAATTCATGGTTACCGAGTGTTGAGGGAAAGATGAAGGTTGAATTTATGAAACAAAGGGGATTTTGAAGGCAGAGAAACTATTCTATGTGATACTGTAATGGTGGATACAAGACATTATAGATTTGTCAAACTTCATAGATGGTTACAACACAGAGTAGACTTTAATATACGCAAACTAAAAAAGAAATCATTTAGAAAGGTGGGAGACCAAAGAAGGAATGTAAACTGTGACAAAAGAAGAAACTTTATTACAAACATATGAAACCAGCTCAGTAAAAGGAGTGGGAGAAAAAAGTATTGACCTAAGTAACTGCGGAAATATGTGGAGTCTGGAAATGAGTGGACCAATAGTAAAAGAAAATGCACATAAAGCTGTATTCTTGTAATTAAAGTTGTTTCCTGTGAGCGTGTGGGTTCACAATTTTGATACTGCTGTTCATTTACATTGGAAGTGAAAAGTTGAGGAAACGTATGGCAGATGACGGCGGCTAGATTTCTTACCCTTGGAGTGCAAATTTACAGATAAGGAAGGGAGGAATTTAGAATGAATGATGTAGTAATGGGTTAGAATCTAAGACATCAGCATAAACTCATGTTTAGTGTAACATATATACACATGTAGTCACATCATATATATATATATATATATGTGTAGTTACATCCTATACACACACACACAAACACACACACACATAGTCTATAGGCACATGTGTTTCCTTGTTCTGTCAACTGAAAATACCTGCTACCCAGTAGGACAGAGCACAGATATTGGTTTCTAATATTATTCTCTAATGAAAAGAAACTAGCCTTCTTGGATAAATAGCTGGTTCTAAGTAATATATTTTCCTGTTGCAGAAAATATATAAGGTGAACATAGAGCATCCTGAGGCACCAGAAAGTGAGGACATGCTCAGTAATGAAACAAACAAATGAAAACACTCCTTGGGGAATGTCAAAGGGGCACAGGAGCCAATTGAAAAGACCTCTCAATGGCCAAAGCTGGAAAACAATTTGGAAAACAAAACAAATAGAATTAATAAAGTAGTATAGTATTATAATCCAACTTACAAAACAAATAATCATAAGTCTATACTGACATAAATGGTTGAATAAATAAATAAGTAAAGGAGAAGTGAAAAAATTCCCATGCATAATAGTTCCAAATTATTTATGCAGAAAAAGAAAGCATCCTCAGCCAGTGTTAACTGATGGCTGACCTGGCAACAACAGGTAGTTCATGATGTCTTCTACTTAATCGAAAGTGATTCCCACAGCAACAGTATCAGACAGGTACTCTCTAATATGAATGAGTGAAACAAAACCAAAACTACACTGTATCTATGTCTGAAAAGAGAAGAACAAGGACAGTGTTTCAATTAAAAAACTGAACATCTTTCTTACCTGGCTGACATAAATGACTGTTGGTTCTTAACTAACTACAGTTTTAGTTCCTATTCACTGCTTCTGCCTCCCGGATTTAAAATAAAAGAGAAAGAGAATTAAGATAACGATTTGTATATTTAGCCTACTTCCTGCCAACACTCAAACCAGAGAAAACTTCCCACTTTCTTAAACTCACCCCCATTCACCTCACACAAACTCAAATGCTGTAACCAGCCTATTCTCACACTTTTTCACTGAGATATCCTATTATTCTCTATGAGGTACCATTTGCTTTGCTATAGTACTAGGACTACAGCTTTGTTTGACTACAGGTATATTCTTCAACGTCTTTGGGTAGCAGCCTTTAACCAGAAGAGAGAAAAGTGGGTCAGGACTACAAGGCAGAAACTCAAGCTATGTTAAGTCCACTAAGATTGGAGTTAATTCTGTAAGCAATAAGACCTACTTAAAAATTTTATGCATGAAATAATATGGCTTGAATTTCCTTTAACATATATTTCCTGGTGAATATATGGTTGATGTTTGTGAGGGATAAAAGAGTGTAGTTTAGGGACAACTTCCAGCTAAGTCCTGAACTTGAGGACAAGGTAAGAATGAAGAGGAAAGTTATGGATTTGAGAGATGTTTATTAGGCTAAAAACCTGCAGTCTGTAGTAGTTGGCAATGAAAATAAAAGTGAGAATAAACAATCAATCAAGGATATTGATAACTGGTTAACCTTGTTATCTCATAATTGATTACCCCTCCCAGGGGTGCATGCATTGCTGATCTGTATGGAAACGGGAATATGAGAACAGAATGGATAAGGCATTCAGAATTAATAATGTGGATGAAAATAAAGAAGCAGAATGCTGTTTCTACATTCAAAATTCTGCTATAGTAATACAGTACCAGGGCTCTACTTCGATAAGAAACATTTGAAATTCTAAGAATGTACAATATTTGCTTACAGCAAGTGTCACAAAAAAAAACCACCAAAAAATGTATGTTTGATTTGCTTGCTGGGAGAGAGACCAATATTTGACAGTTTCCCAGGAAGAATTTAATTCTGTCCTAAATAAACAAAGGTATCTCCTGATGAAAATAAAGATATCCTCAGAATCACTAGTAGTTCTGCCAGACAGAAGACTTCACAAGGGCAGGGTGTGTATCTATCATATGTATTATTTTATTCTTAGCACTCATCATCACACCTCTTGGCATATAAAAGGTCCTTAGTAATTAATGTTGATTGGATACATTGATTAAGGAATTAGGAATTATTCCAGAGGCAGGAATACACAGCAATGGGGCATAGAATGTGCTCCCTAACAGAGGTCAACAAAATCAAAGTCAAGTTGTGGAAAGAGCTCTTTAACAGATGAGCAGCATAAAATAGAGCTATTTGCTGACTTAGAGCACGAAAGCCAGAGAGTGGCTGTAGCAGCAGAGGAATCAGGATGAGGTAGCACAGCTTATGCTAAAAGAGAGTGTACTCGCTCTAGGTTGTGAGACAGAAAAGATGCAAGACAGCAAGTCCCCAGAGGAGAGAAAGGATGTCTGAGTTCATGGATTTTCAACAGTGACAATAAAGCCTACATACTAAGTATGTCCTAGGAAATTGGACGACGAATGAGTTGCAATGGTTTACCAACCAAGATTTGTGGGCTAAGAAGGCACATGATCAACTGGGATATTTTTACCCTGCTGTTTCACTCCCATCCCAGATTCTGGCCAATTCCCAAGCAGTGATTTGTGGCACAGTACAAAGTGTGACAGTCCGTTGCAAGAACATTGGCAACCCAGAGAGGTGATGCCAATAGATAAAGATGAGAAACAATGAGACCCCAAATGAAGAAAGACCCAAAGCTAGGATATCAGTAAAAATGGATTTGTGATGAAAATTAAACTCAGAAAGTGTAGTTTTATGTAAACACTCCTTTATATCTAACTTAATACTTAATTGCTGAATAAATTCATTTCATCATTTCCCTCTAATATGAATAATCTCAAATAACTTCAAAAGGAAAAACATCTGGCTAAATAAAGTGAATTAGTTGCCTTCTAAGAAAAATTATAATATCTGAATTTAGATGCACTCTGTCTATCTTGGGTAAAGGAAGAGCCTTGGAGGCCCAAGCACTCAATGTATTATGGCACCCCCTCCCCACACCCCACCACATACTAACATGCTACCATATGTGATAGAAAATAAAGTTTTTATTTTGAAATGAAGCAAACATCTACATATTCTGAAATAATTTCATCGAGGCTGACTTTTCTTTTTTCCTTTCTTTCAGTCTCCCTCTTTCTCTTGTGTGCACCATGTTGTGCCTGTTTCTGTTGTTTTTGACATGTGCTTAATCAACCATCAGAGTAATTCTCCACTGACTCTCTCCAGCCACTGGACTACAAAGGTAAAGGCGAATTCTCCTTGATGTTTGTTTTTGGAGGGGCCTCACTTATTAAACAGAGAAGAAAGACACTTGAATTTCAAAATGTTAGTTACATTGAAATTTAATACAAACACAGTAGCAAATTAAGTAGTAGGTTTTATAGATAATTGAGAAAGAACATTTAGAAACAATTTCAACCAGTAACCAATCGGCTACTGTTACCAAACAGAGAGTATTCTACTTTTCAGTCTGGCAGAATGCTTTGTTCTCATGTGGACACCATTTGTCACACTTGTAGATCTGTGACTTCCTCAAAATAAACTGAAGCTGCTTTTTCAATGAAATGTGTCCACAAATTAAATATTATCAAACACTCCGTATTAATTTATCTTTTAATTTGCCTTTTGATATTTTTGCATTTATTTGATTTTTCTCCAGCGTTAAGTCGTTTAGTATTAAAATTGACTGGATACTGCTTGTTTCTTGTATAGATATATGGAATAAAATTAGATCTTTTGAGATGAAATCAATACAAAGAAAAACAAAAAAAGCAAAAGTTTATCTTAGAACAAAGAATGTGTACATAGGAAATTAAAAAACAAAACATGTTACCATGAATAAGATAACTTTTTACTATAGAAGTTTTTTTAGATTATAAAAAAATGGTAGATGTAGAAGAATGAACAGAGTATGTAGATGGCAAGTTTTCAGTAACGTCAGGCCAAATCTTCATGTGATATATGTGTATGTGAATGTAGCAGCATGTGAATATTTATGTGAGCTCCCAAACAATGTGCTGAAGGGCAGATAAAGGCTGGAAGTTGTTTGCCATTTTTGACTAAATTAAGGAATGAAAGCATAGTGGTGATACCCAAATTCTAAATTCACTGTAAATTCCATGGATTTTTATTTTGCTAAAAAGTTTGTACTTATACATGTTACCATATGCCATCTCTTATATATGTAAATACAAGATTTGTGCATCATTTTAGAGTATTTAATTTTGGTAATGCTGTAGATTCATCTAGAATTTGATAAAAAGCCATGACTAATCTTCCTAGAAATTTACATTTAAGACACGCTTTAGCATATGCTATCTAAGGATTCATAGTTACTCTGCAGGCTGTTTTAAAGACCCCTGCATTTCAAGAATCCTATATTTTAAAAATCTCTTTTTCTAAAAAATATTTTGATGGCAATGGCCCTCCTTTTGATAAGAGGTAAGGCCCCTGACGGAGGCAATAATAGTAGATCCTCCTAGAACTAGACCTCAGGGAATTACTTTCTGTTAGCTCTGCAGTGAGAGAAACACTATAGCAATGCAAACTGTAGAAAGGGAGCCGTGAATATGCAGAGTATGCTTCAGAGGAAGGTTACTTCTAAAGTCCTTCAGTTAATTGGGTGTTAACTGAGAGAGATATTTTAGTGACTTCTATGGAATATAATTAACAATAAGAGAAATATTCTAAATCCAGGTCTGAGAGAAAGGAAAAAAGCAACCTGGAAGGAAAAATGAAAAAGATGATATTTTCAAATTAATTTAAATGAACTCTGAAAAAAATGCTGATTTTATCAGAAAGAGAAAAACGTCTCAAGCCCACTGTAGTTAATAAAACAAAAACTATGTCTAAGTGTAACTGAAAACATCTGCATGCATGCTCTTTCTAAGACTGAGGGAGATGATACTTCCATGGTATTTGGGAAGAAATCTACTGTTCTGCAGAGCCGGTTTTTGGCTAGAGATACATAATAGAAAAGAATATATTTAGCCTTGCCTAGTTAATAAACCATTAATGGAAAAGAGCAGCAAAGAACTTAACTGACCTTCTGGATCTTGTCAAAATCCTGTCAAGAAAGGTGACAGTAAAAGAGTAACAGAGAGTCAATGACTAAGTGACAAGGGTTGGCAAGATTGATTTTAATGAAATGTATCTTTGAGAAGCTGATTTAGAGAACAGATGTGCTTAGAGTTAGATAACACTTTAAATTCTATTTTTTGATATGCTCTTCTACAGTTGCCAGTATTCTGGTGTCCAAGTTTTTGCAAAGTTAGCAAGGAAAAGGAAAGGGTGACATATTGATGTAGATGTTTGTCTGTGTTGTTGGGGGGGATGCTTTTCTATGCATCCCTCTCTCCATCACTCTGGTTCTTGTGCCTTCAAACACTTAGCCTTTGTGTTTTTTATTAGCTGATTACATTTCATCCTAGCCACACTCACCAATATGCCACATGACAAATATTCTAAGCATATCTCTATTTTGGTGTTGAACATTTCTACATGGAGATATCCTCTAAGTTTATATAAGTATGCATGTAATATTTAATTATATTATTGTATTAGTTTATTTATATTGTATTATTCTCATTTTAAATATTTTGTTATTTTATTATAAAAATAAGTATACACATATAATACACAATGTAATGTATCATGTATTATTTCTAATAAATACAAAGGATTTGACAAAAATTATATTACAGTGAAGCTCAGTTATCTGGAGTTCAAAATTTTAGCACTGAAAATGAACACTTAATCAAAAGTCAAGGAATAAATAAAAATATGTAGAGTCACTATGATAGCCTTCTCAAAAATAGATGTAGTCAATTTATTACCTTTATGAAGGTCTCTATGACGTTCTTTTAGTTCTTATTGACTCTTACTTTTAACCACTTCTAACCTTTGGATTCTTAACAATTCTTTTAAAATGTCAACTTAGATATTAATCTTAGATCCCAACCTATTTTTGTATAATAAGCATGTATTACTCCATTTTCACACTGCTCATAAAGACATATCTGAAACTGGACAATTTACAAAAGAAAGAGGTTTAATTGGACTTATGTTTTTATGTTGCTGGGGAAGCCTCACAATCATAGTGGAAGGCAAAGAGGAGTAAGTCATGTCTTACATGGATGGCAGCAGGCAAAGGGAGAGAGAGCTCATGCAGGGGAACTGCTCTTTATAGAACTATCAGATCTTGTGACTCACCATCACAGAAACAGGAGGGGAGAAATCTGCTCTCAAATTAAATTATCTCCCACCAGGTCCCTCCTACAACACGTGGGAGTTCAAGATGAGATTTTGGTGGGGACACAGCCAAACCATGTCATTCCACCTCAGCCCCTCCAAAATCTCATGTCTTCACATTTCAAAACCAATCATGCCTTCCTAATAGTCCCACAAAGTCTTAACTCATTTCAGCATTAATTCAAAAGTCCACAGCCCAAAGTTTCATCCGAGACAAGGAAAGTCCATTCCACATATGGACTTTCATATGTAAAATCAAAAGCAAGTTAGTTACTTCATAGATACAATGGGGTTACAGGCATTGGGTAAATACAGCCATTCCAAATGGGAGAAATTGACCAAAACAAAGGGGCTACAAGACCCATTCAAGTGCAAAATCCAGTGGGGCAGTCAAATCTTAAAGCTGCAAAATGATCTCCTTTGACTCCATGTCTTACATCCAGGTCACACTGATGCAAGAGTGGGTTCCCAGGGTCTTAGGCAGCTCCACCCCTGTGGCTTTTCAGAGTACAGCTTCCTTCCTGGCTGCTTTCATGGGCTGGCATTGAGTGGCTGGCTTTTTCAGGTGCACCGTGCAAGCCATCAGTGGATCTACCATTCTGGGGTCTGGAGGACAGTGGTCCACTTCTCAAAGCTCCACTAGGTGGTGCCCCAGTAGGGACTTAATGAGGGCTCTGACCCCACATTTCCCTTCCATACTGCCCTAGCATAGGTTTTCCATGAGAGCCCTGCCCCTGCAGCTAACTTCTGCCTGAACATCCAAGCATTTCCATACATCCTTTGAAATCTAGGTGGAGGTTCCTAAACCCCAATTCTTGACTTCTGTACACTGGCAGGCTCAACAACATGTGGAAGCTGCCAAGGCTTGTGGCTTGCACCTTCTGCCATAGCCAGAACTCTATGTTGGCCCTTTTATCTGCAGTTGGAGTGGCTGGGATGCAGGGCACCAAGTCCCTAGGCTGCACACTGAACGGGGACCCTGGGCCAGCTCAGGAAACCACTTTTTCCTCCTAGGCCTCTGGGCCCGTGATGGGAGGGGCTGACATGAAGACCTCTGGCATTCCCTGGAGACATTTTCCCTATTGTGTTGGGGATTAGCATTTGGTTCCTCATCACTTATGCAAATATGTGCAGCTGGCTTGGATTTCTCCTTGGAAAATGGGATTTTCTTTTCTATCACATTATCAGGCTGCAACTTAACTGAACATTTATGCTCTGCTTCCTT